>NT_187640.1:0-204239 GCF_000001405.40 Homo sapiens
ACACTTAGAAATATGTTACAGAGCTGTAGTAAGCAAAACAGCATGACATTGGCATAAAGAAAGGCACATAAAAAATGGAACAGAATGGAGAACACAGATATAATCCATGCATTTACATCCAATGGCTTTCTTTTGTGTGTGTGTGATGGAATCTTGCTCTGTCATGCAGGCTGGAGTGTAGAGGTGCAATCTCAGCTCAATGCAACCTCCACTTCCTGGATTCAAGAAATTCTCTTGCTTCAAACTCCTGAGTAGTGGTATT
The DNA here is from genome assembly GCF_000001405.40 of Homo sapiens. Taxonomy (NCBI): domain Eukaryota; kingdom Metazoa; phylum Chordata; class Mammalia; order Primates; family Hominidae; genus Homo; species Homo sapiens. The sequence continues at coordinate 263 of NT_187640.1, forward strand.
ACAGGCACTGATCACCATGCTCAGCTAATTTTTGTATTTTTAGTAGAGACGAGGTTTCACTCTGTTGGCCAGCCTGGTCTTGAACTCCTGGCTTTAGGTGATCCACCCGCCTCGGCCTCCCAAAGTGCTGGAATTGCAGGTGTGAGCCACCATGCCCAGCCCATTTAATGGACTTTGACAAAGGTGCCGAGAACTTACAATCAAGAAAGGACAGTCTTCAATAAATGGTGTGGGGAAAACTGGATATCTACATGCAGAGGAATAAAACTGCATCTATACCTGTCACCTTACACAAAAATCAAATGAAAATGGATTAAAAACATGAGTCTAAGGCCTGAACCTATGAAACATGTAGAAGAAAATAATGGGGAAGACATTTGTCTGACGAAAGACATTTTGTTTAAAACCTTCAAAACACAAGTAATCAAAGCAAAAAATAGACCATTAGGATTACATCAAACCAAGCAACTTCTGCACCACCAAAGATAAACCAACAAAGTGAAGAGACAACCCACAAAATAGGAGCAAATATTTGCAAACTATTCATCTGAGATGGGATTAATAACTGGAAATATAAGAAGCTCAAACAACTCAATAAAACAATTTAATTAAAAAACGAGCAAAAGACATGAGGAGACATTTCTCCACAAACAAAACATAGAAATGGCGATCACGTATATGAAAAAGTGCTCAGCATCACTCATCATCACAGAAATGTAAATTACAATCGCGATGAGTTTTCATCTCATCCCATTAAAATGCCTTTTAGGCCGGTGGCTCACGCCTGTAATTCCAGCACTTTGGGAGGCGGAGGTGGGCGGATCACCTGAGGTCGGGAGACCAGCCTGACCAACATGGAGAAACTCCCTCTCTACTAAACATACAAAAATTAGCTAGGCGTGGTGGCACATGCCTGTAATCCCAGCTACTTTGGAGGCTGAGGCAGGAGAATCAGTTGAACGCGGGAGGCAGAGGTTGCAGTGAGCCGAGATCACACCCTTGCACTCCAGCCTGGGCGACTATGAGTGAAACTCCATCTCAACATAAATAAATAAATAAATAAAGTAAAGTAAAATGGCTTTTATCTGCAAGACAGGCAAAACAAATGCTGGCAAGATGGTAGAGAAAGGAGAACCCTGGTACCCTGTTGGTAGGAATGTAAATTAGTACAACTATTATGGAGAAAAGTATGGAAAAACTTTAAAAAACTAAAAGGAGGCTGGGCATAGTGGCTTATGCCTGTAACTTCAGCACTTTGGGAAACCGAGGCAGGCACCTCACTTGAGGTCAGGAGTTTGAGAGCAGCCTGCCCAAAATTGGGATATCCCGTCTGTGCTAAAAAATACAAGAATTAGTCAGGCATGGTGGCGTGCACCTGTAATCACAGCTATTAGGGAGGCTGAGTCAGGAGAATCGTTTGAACCTAGGAAGCAGAGGTTGCAATGAGCCAAGATCGCACCACTTTGACTCCAGCTTGGACTAAGGAGGGAAACTCTTTCTCAAAAAAGAAAAAAAAAAAAAGAGAACTTTCATAGTGTCCAGCAATTTCACTACTGGGTTTATATCCAAAGGAAAGGACATCAGTGTATCGAAGTGATATCTGCACTCAAATGACTGTTCCAGCACTGTTCACAGTAGCCAAGATGTGGAGTCAACCTACCTGCCTATCAGTGGGTGAATGGATAGAGAACTGTAGTACACACACACGGTGGAGACTACTCATCCATAGAAACAATAACATCCTGTCATTTGCAGCCACATGGATGGAACTGGAGGTCATTACAAAGATTCCCATTTCTCACCACATGCAGGAGATAAAAGGTGGATCTCATGAAGGTAGAGAATAGAATGGTGGATACCAGAGGCCAGGAAGGGAAGGGTGGAGGGTAACAAAAAAAAGAATATAGATGTATTTATTTATTTAGAAACAGAGTCTCTCTCTGTCTCCCAGGCTGCAGTGCAGTGGCATGATCTCGGCTCAGTGCAACCTCTGCCTCCTGGCTTTAAGTGCTTCTCCTGCCTCAGCCTCCCAAGTAGCTAGGACTACAGGTGCATGCCGGCATGCTTGGCTAATTTTTCTTGTCTGTTTAGTAAAGATGAATTTCCCGCATGTTGGCCAGGCTGATCTCGAGTCCCTGATCTTAAATGATCCACCTTTCTTGGCCTCTCAAAGCGCCAAGATTACAACCGTGAACCACCACACCCAGCATATAAAGGTATTTATGACCACTAGATTTTACTTTTAAAAATGGTAAAGTTGGTAAATTATATAGTTACATTTAACCTCAATAAATATTTTTGAAAATGAAAAGAAAAGAGTGTAGGGGTTGCTGGTGATGACATCTCTCTGTGTGGGTGAGAGGCCAGGATGGGCTTCTGGGAAATGGGTAAGGTTGAGGGGCTGAGGGAACCTCTGATCTCCCCAAACTGAGCCCAGTCTCCCCTTCTCTGGGTCTGTCCTGACCGCTTTCTCCATCTGCCTGGGTGCCTGGAGCCCTGACCATGGGCCTCCATGCAGGCCATGCAAGAGGGTTTGGAGGTGCCCTGTCTGCCATCCTGCACCCTGACCCCCCCCCTCACACCCAGTCTTCGTGTTCTCTCTGCATCTGTCCATGCTTCTCCCCATCATCGGCAGGAAGCTCCTCAGCTATGGCTCTAGGATCATAAGACATGGGACAGACACGGGTTTTCCTCACCTGTGACAGAAACAAGCAGTGGGTCACTTGAGTTTGACCACACGCAGGGCAGGGCACGGAAAGAGCCGAAGCATCTGTAGGTCCCTCCGTGGGTGGCAGGGCCCAGAGGAAAGTCTGCCTGGAATGTTCTGTTGACCTTGGGCACTGCACGGAGCCTACGTTCATGGGCCTCCCCTTCCCTGGACAGATGGTAGATGTCATAGGAGCTCCAGGAGCTACAGGACAAGGTCACGTTCTCTCCTGCCTGAACCGTGGGGCCCGGCTGGGCTGAGAGAGAAGGTTTCTCATATAGACCTGGAAGGAGAAGAGGCAGTTTCCTCAGGGAGGTTCTTCCTTGTCACAGCTCCCCTCATACCTGAGCTGAGAACTCACTCCCCTGCTCTATGACCTAATGCTCTCTCTCTCTCTCACCCTCCACCCCAACTCTCTTCATGTCTATTTCCTCCTTCTGCCTTCTCTGTCTCTCTAGGTCTCTGACCTCACTTCCCCACCCCTGGGTATGCTTTCCCTTTTTGGATTGTTTTATTCTCTCTGACTCTCCTTGGATTGGTTGACTTGATCTTCCTTTTTCTATAATTCTGAGTCTCTCACTTTCTGTCTTGTTCATAACTTTCTGCATATTTCTATCTATTATCTATCTATCTATTTTGTGTCTATCTACAAATTATCTGTCATCTATATCTATGTATCATTTATCTATCAATTGTCTATCTGTCTATCCATCAATCATCTATGTATTATCTGTATCTATGTATCATCTCTCTCTCTCTCTATTACCTCTCTGTCTGCCTGTCAGTCTCTATGTATCATCTATGTATCTATATATTTATATATGTGTCTTCTATCTATCTTCATCATCATCATCATCATCATCTCTATGTATCATCTATCAATCATCATCTATGTATCTATAACCTATCCATTATCTATCATCTACCTATTTATCATCTATCTATATCTATCTATCCATCTATCATCTGTCTCTCTCCATCTCCTTGTCTTTCTCTGCCTCTCAGTCTCTCTAGTTCTATTTGGAATCTCTGCAATCCATCCCCACATCTTTATCTTTCTCTGTCTTTGTGCCCCTCCCTCAGGGTTCTGATTTTGGGGCTTTTCTCTCCTCCCTTCCAGCATTCTCTCCACTCCTCTGCCCTCTTTTCTTTCTTTTTGTGTGTCTGTGAGTCTCTCAATCCCCTTCCTCTGGCTCATTCTCTGTGTGTTTATGCCTTTGCTTTTTGAAGTCCCTGATTTATCTCTGTGTCTCTCAGTGATCCTATTATATGTAGGATTATTTGGAATATGAGCCTCAGAATCTAGTCTGGGGACACCAAGTACACACAGTATTTAGGGGTTGGTGTTCTGGGGCCATGATATCCTGGGATAATTATGGCTCCACTGCATGGAAGGCAGAGGTGTCAGAATAAACATGGCATCTGTAGATGCCACAAGGCCTGAGGCCACAGGGCCCAACTCAGGTCAGAAATATGGGTGTCCTTGGGTTCTCCTCGTAGAAGCACTTTGTGGAGACAAAACAGAAATGAAACTTCTAACCTGTGCCAGGTCTCTGAGCAAAGTCAGCATGGAAGGACACTTCTCTCTGGCACATGTCTGTCTGTCTGAGTGTCTCCTTTACCTCTTTCTCTCTTTTCTACTTCCCCGTATGGCCCCTGTGTCTGTCCTCTGTTATGACACCTGGTCTGTACTTATGTCTCCTGTTTCCCTGTCTCTGTTGGTACAGACCTCACCGAGTCAGTCTCTCTCCATAAGAATCCCACGCTTATCTTCCTCATGACCACCTGGGGGTTCCAAGTCCTGGATCATTCACTCTGTGTCCCAATGACAACGAGAAGAATGTCTGGACACTCTCACCTGTGATCACGATGTCCAGGGGGTCACTGGGAGCTGACAACTGATAGGGGGAGTGAGGAACAGAACCATAACATCTGTAGGTTCCTGCAAGGACAGGCATCAAGGGACCGATGGAGAAGTTGGCCTTGGAGACCCCATCATGGATCTGTCCAACGAGGCGTGAGGGGTCCTCAGAGATCCCCTCTCTGTGCAGAAAGAAGTGCTCAAACATGACATCTGACCAACATTGCAGGATGACTGTCTCTCCTGATTTCAGCAGGGTCCCTGGGTGGGCCAGGAGGGAAGGTTTTCTGTGGTTTCCTAGAAAGAGAAGTTGTGAGTTTAGAAGGCATCTCTCTTTATCATCCCATCCATGGCACCTGGAATGAGTGAGGGTTCCCCTCCCAGAGGTCTGTCTCTCTCCTCCCTCTCTGTGTCTCCGTGTCTTTTCTGTGCCCATATCCCCTGGTGCAGGTCCCTCCATTTGTCTTCCTCCCTCTTCTCTGTCCCTCTGTCTCCAGTAGCCCCTGACTCCCTTCCCACTGTGAAGAGAGCCTCATCTCTTGGGCTGTTGTATCTCTTTCCCACTAGTCTCTTTCCTGCTGTCTATGTGGGGGTGGAAGAGGACAGGCTGCATGTCCAGGCTCTCAGCAGCCTGAATCAATCTCTTTTGAACAAATTGGAGTCTCTGGCAGAGGTATCAACTCATCAGTAAGGCAGACATCAGTGTCCACACACCCTGTTCCTGATGGGGATTGGGAGCCTCTCCTGCCATGTCTGTGCCTTCTCCATGGCCCCAGCTTCCATAGGGTGGTCCCTGGTGCTGGTTCCAGGAGCATCAACCCCTTCCTATGTGGATGGAGCCTGGTGGTGGCATCAGCATCCCACCCTTGCTGATCCCACGGTAGCCAACCTTCTCCTTGTTTGGTTTCTTTAATTAATTGATTAATTAATTTATTTTTGAGACAGTCACTTTTTCACCCAGGCTGGAGTGCAGTGGTGTTGTCTTGGCTCACTGCAACCTCTGCCTCCCTGGTTCAAGTGATTCTCTTGCCTCAGCCTCCCCAGTCGTTGGATTACTCGTGCCCACCACCACACCTGGCTATCCTTGTTTGGTTTCCTAGCTTGTCCTTGACCTGGGTTCCTGTGTCGGTTTCCTGTTGCTGCTGCAGAAAATTATCACAAACATGGCAGCAGGAGAGAACACACTGACCCCTTCCACTTCTGGGGACAGAAATTGGATCCAGTTCTCCCTGTGCTGAAATCAAGGCATCTGCAGGGCTGCGTTCCCTCTGGAGACTCAGCGAATCAGTTCTCTTGACTTCTCCAGCCCTTAGAGGCCACCTGCATTCTGTGACTAGTGGCCTTCCTCCACCTTCAAAGCCCACAGTGGCTGATAGTGTCTCCCTCCCACTACACTGCTCTAATCCCCACTCCCCTCTTCCTCCACCTCTCACGCGGACCCTTGTGATTACACTGAGCCCAGCAGGACAGTCCAGGCTGTCTCCCCATCTCAAGGTCAACTCATCAACAACCTGAGCTCCACCTTCCCCTTCAGTCCCCTGCCCTATAACATAAATAGTCACAGGCTCCAGGGTTTACAATGTAACCATCATTGGCGACAGTTATTCTTCCCACCACAGCGCCCATTTCCCCTGTATTCAATCCCCCTTGACCCCAAATACAGTTGGGGCCTGGGTGATGGGACCCTGATGGACACCCCCACCAGAAGCTCTGGGATTCAGGAGGTGGGACAGTGAGAAGCCCAGACAGAAAGCCTCTGACCTGTGACCATGATCACCAGGGGGTTGCTGGGTGCCGACCACCCAGTGAGGGAGTGTGGGCGTGAACCCCGACATCTGTAGGTCCCTGCATGTGCTGGGGTCACAGGGCCCATGATGAAGCTCTCCTGGAATATTCTGCCGTGGAAGATGGGAACGTGGCTTCTGTCTTCTTTGTACAGCATGAAATTGTTAAACCCACGACGATAGTGACACTGAAGAGCCACGTGTCCTCCTTGAGGCACCACAGTGCTGGGCCGGGCAGACAGGAAGGGTTTGTCCTGACCACCTGGGGGAGAAGGAGGCACTGCCTTAGAGAGGAGGATGTGGAGCCACCCCTCCCTCCCTGTGCTCAGAAGATTCTCCCATTTCCGCTTTCTAAGGCTCCTACCACACCTGGGTGCCCAGGGCTACAGGAAGGACCCACCCCACATAGACATGGCGTCTCCCTACAACAAGTGTCAGCTGAGAACTTTGAGCAAGTGCTGAATAAGTGACTCTTACTAGATTTTAATACTGCAAAATTACTCACATAAAATAACACAAAGTAGACACGGCATGGAGGGCATGTCCTATGTGAATGGAATATCAGCCAATTCATGAACTGAGCCCCCTCAGAGGATTTGGAATGTCAGGGCCATGGCTGTGGTTTCCCCCCTCTTCTGGTAGAAAGACCGCAGCCACACTGCAGCCCCTACCGTCACGGAAACGCTGGAGGGTGTCAGTTATACCTTTGTCCTCAGAGGACCTGCTGTTCCTAGCACTGCTTCCCTCTCTTTCTCTGCTGCTGACACCACTTCCTCCCTGCACACCCCAGCTTGGAGCACCCCAGTCTCACCCCAGTCTTCACAGAGCTTGACTCAGGAAAGGGAAAGAAAGGCCGGGGAGGGCGAGGTCAGAAATGTGGGCCGAGTATCCAAGGGTCCCCTCTTCCTAGTTTATGAGAGACTCCCCGACAGGACTTCCCTCCTGTTTCAGAAAAATCCTCTTATGTGGGGAGATGACACCCTAAGGTTTGGGGAAGGACTCACCCATGAGTGGCCAGGCCCCCTGCAGCAAGAAGAACCCTGGAAAGAAAGATCATGATAGACGATCCAACTGCAGGCAAACCAGGGCACCCTGCTGCCCCCACTGCACTGTGTGTCTTGGCAGCCAGGCCCTTGCTGGGCTGAAGGTAAACTTAGCCTCCCTGCTACCTGCTGCCAAGAACAGGGCTCTCAGCTGTGGAGAGACCCAGGCTCCAGGCCCAGATCAACACTTCCTGGCCCAGATCTCCACTCCAGGCCCATATCTCCACTCCAGGCCCCTATCTCCACTCCAGGCCCATATCTCCACTCCAGGCCCATATCTCCACATCAGACCCATATCTCCACTCCAGGCCCAGATCTCCCCTCTAGGCCCATATCTCCACTCCAGGCCCATATCTCCACTCCAGGCCCATATCTCCACATCAGACCCATATCTCCACTCCAGGCCCATATCTCCACTCCAGGCCCAGATCTCCACTCCAGGCCCGTATCTCCACTCCAGGCCCATATCTCCACACCCAGGCCCATATCTCCCCTCCAGGCCCATATCTCCACTCCAGGCCCATATTTACACCTCCAGGCCCATATCTCCACACCCAGGCCCATATCTCCACTCCAGGCCCATATCTCCACTCCAGGCCCATATCTTTACCTCTAGGCCGAGATCTCCATCCCCACTCTCCCTCCCTCTATTCCCTTCCAGGACTCACCAACGCACGCCATGCTGACGACAGTGAGCGACATGGTGCTGCCGGTGCAGACAGGAGGCCGCGCCCCAGCTCAGCTCAGCAGCGCACAGGATGTTATTTGGCGCCCTGCCCATGCAGTTTACATGTTGACCACATCATGGGAGGGTGACGTACGCAGGCTCTTTCTACCTTGCATGAGGCCCAGTGGGTGCTCGCTCAAGAGCGGAACATGGCTTCCTGGAAATTGTTGTGACTACAATTGCCACCTTGCATCCTTCACTATGACCAGACTCAAAAGATGTCTCAGATCCAACCTCTCACACATGAGGTGATTGAATTCTGTGCTTACATTAAAGACTTTTGATGTATTTTTGTTTTTATCTGAGATTCAAACTTTTCTTCATGTGTAATGTGCAAAATATCTAAGAGGTATTATTAACATTATCAGAGTAATTGTGACAAAAAGCCATTCTAATTTTCCTGATGAGTTTCTAGTACTAAACCTGAGGCACGAGAATTGCTTGAACCTGGGAGGCGGAGGCTGCAGTGAGCTGAGCTCAAGCCACTGAACTCCAGCTTGGGTGACAGAGGAAGAGTCTGTCTCAAGAAAGAAAAAAAAAAGCAAACTAAATAACCTATAATAACAAATCAGAGAACTCAGGTTACCAAATTTTAAGGGGTTCTATAAGTTTATATGAAATGCAGCATCCTCATGAGAGGGGATACAGAGAACCACTGGGCAGAAAACTGTGTCTAAAATACATCTGTGGATACACAGTCCCTTTATAGTTGACAAAGGCTGCCATGTAGTTTAAGGTGGAATAGAATATTTTCTCAATAAATAACACAGGACCATAGGGTTACACGTAGGAAAAAATAAATCTAAACTTATCCTCACACTATAAAAACACTTCTTATTTTTTATCTTGTTGTTGTAAACTTTTTATGCTTTATTTTTAAGATTGACAAATAAAAATTATATACTGTGGTCCTTCACTATTCCTGGGTGATTGGTTCCAGGATCCCCATTCAGATACCAAAATCTGCAGATGCTCAAGCCCCTTGCATGAAATGGCATAGCGAAGCTGGGCACCGTGGCTCACGCCTGTAATCCCAGCACTTTGGGAGGCTGAGTTGGGTAGATCACGAGGTCAGGAGTTCAAGACCAGCTGGTCCAACATTCTGAAACCCCGTCTCTACTAAAAATACACACACAAAAAAATTTATCTGTGCATGGTGGCACGTGCCTGTAATCCTAGGGGAGGCTACTGGGGAGGCTGAGGGAAGACAATCGCTTGAACCTGGGAGGCGGAGGTTGCAGTGAGCTGAGATCATGCCACTGCACTCCAGCCTGGGTGAGAGAGTGAGACTGTCTCAAAAAAAAAAAAATAGCATAGCAATTGCATAGAACCCATGCACATCCTCTTGTATACATGAAATCATCTCTTGATTACTTATAATTCCTGACACAGCCTACACGCCACTCAATTTGTGTCGATTCAACATAGTTTTTTGCTTCTTGAAACTTCGGGGATTTTTTTCTGAAAATATTTTTGATTTATTGTTGGTTCAATAAACACCTGTAAACCCCACAGATATGGAGGACCGACTGTATATTTATATTATGAAAGATGATATGTTGATATGTGTCCCCGTGGAGATGAGACTAACAAGGCCTATGACTCTACAAATGTTTCATCGTGGAATGACTCTGCCAGCTTTCCAGGTCTGCAGAGAGTAAGAATATCACTTGTTCATGTGATTCACGATCCTTGGAGCCTCCTATGTGCTGTATCTTTGGATGGAAATTGGAGTCTCAGAGACAAATCAGGCTCCATTCTGCTTCCAGAAGCTCAGAGTCCAGGGCTGAGAACCCAATGGAGAACAGATGGGGTTATGTGGACATGGTAATGATAACACCGGAAGCCTTAGGCAAGAAAAGAGTCTCGTTACCGAAACCATGAGGGCAGACATGTTTATTTGAAGGCGGGAAAACTACATTGAAATTATTTAAAAAATTTATAAGTTTTACTGCTGGCAGAAGGCTGAAAGATAGTCTGAAGGGAGGTGGAACAGCACGTGTCTAAGTGCTGTGTTAAGAGGCAGCCTCTTGTATGTTTGGAATTGTGAGTTCCTCAGTGTGATTGCAGCCTCAGGTAGACTAGGAAGTAAGCCAGTTAGGTTGGAGAGGTGGGCAGGGGTCAAGTGAAATGGAGAATTGTGGGCTAAGCAAAGGAGTGTGTTTTCTCTCCAGCAGGCAGTGGGGACCTTAGACATTTGTAAGCAAGAGAGAGGCATGTTCAGATTCGTGGTGTGAGGAAGAGCGATGCCCTAAGATGAAGACTGATGCCTTCAGATTCCAGCTGCTGGTACATGGGAGCTGGCAACCCGGTTTTGAGACAGGGCTGTTGTCTCCCTAGAAGATCCCCTCAAGGCCTGACTGTGGTGCTCGTGGACAGAAGACAACTTTGGATCTGGGCTCAGCATTTGGAAGTTCTATGTACATGCTGGTATCTGTTGGGGGTGTCTTGGGCCTCTGAGAAGGGGGAGTGATTTTTCTCTGTGTGAAAACACAGTGATCCAATTATGCGTATGACACCTCCTGATGGTCTTGTTCATCAGAATCCTGGAGAGAGGGAAATGCTGAGTGAGGGAGGGTGCTCACATTTTTCAGGACTCTTTGGGAATAAGACTAGCCACGAGGCTGGGCCGAGGAGCACCTACCTCGCTGTTCACTGTTCTGTTCCCTGCAGGCTCTTGGTCCATTACAGCAGCATCTGTAGAAGACGGAAGTCAACAAAAGAGCTCGGAGGGCACTTCTGGGTCCTCATTTCATAAGCAGATACCAACAAACAGGGGGAGGCCATAGGTGCCTGAGGTCCCTCAGTTGCCAACAGCAGACTCAGACATTCTATCTCTCTGAGTTCAAGGACCCATCCCATGAATAGCTCTGAGGTCCCATCCCATTGATTCTATCTCCCACTTTCTGCCTGTCATGGAACCTTCTCCTGGATGTGAGTGGCTGCAGGGGACGTGAGGATACAGTTCAGAATCAGGCAATGGTCTGTGAGCTGAAGGCAGGGGAAGGGAATCTGGTGCTCTCTCTAGAAAGTCCTGCCTCTGTGGCTCCTGTCTTGGGCCAGGGACCATCCTGCTGGTGAGGAACACACATCCGCGTGCTCCCATCCTGCTTCCCCACATGGCCCTGAGCTCTCTGGCCTCTGCTTCGTGAGACTTACTTTTTTTGTCGGAGCACCAGCGATGAAGGAGAAAGAAGAGGAGGATGGTGAAAGGGATTTTGACCACTGAGGTCCCAATCAGAACATGTAGGTGTCTGGGGTTACCTGGAAGAAGAGGAGACACCAATAAGAAGCTAATCATAGCAGTTCCTCTTTATGAATTGTCTCGCATTTCTTGATTGGCAGGTAACCACATACAACGTCTCTTTAGGACAAGCACCCAAATGGCGGGAGACCTAGCTTTCCCCTGCTTTCTCAATTATAGCTCTCATAGTAACCATAGAACGTGCTGAGGATACAACTACTTTAGTTGAGATGTTTGACCCTTTCAAACCTCACATTGAAATTTCACCCCCATTGTGGGAGGTTGGGCCTCTTCAGAGGTGTTTGGGTCATGGAGGTGGATCCATCATGAACAGATCAATGCTGTCCCAAGGAGACGGGGTTAGCAAGTTCCCCCTCTGTTAGTTCCTGGAGAGCTGGTTGTTAAAAAGAGCTTGGAAGCTCCATTGCTCCCTCTCCCCCTTACTCTCTCTCTTGCCGTGTGATCTCTGCGGTCTCTGCACAGACAGACCCTCCTTCCCTTCTGCCAGAGTGGGAGCAGCCTGAGGCCGTCACGAGAAATAGATTCTGGTGCCATGCTTCCAGTACAGCCTGCAGAACTGTGAGGCAAACCAATCTCTTTTCTTTAGAAGTTACCCAGGCTCAAGTGTTCCTTTAGAGCAACAAAAATGGACTAAGATAGCAACATCCTGAGATCAGGAGGAATGTCTCAGAACAGCCTGGGCTGTCTTCCTGTTCTTCCTGGAGGAGGACGTCATGCAGTGCTTTAGCTGAGTGCTTCCTGTGGCTCCAGGGTACAAAACCCAGGCTGGGCTGCTTTCTGGCTTCCCCCAGCTACACTGCAAATGGGGTGACTCCATATGTCCCGAGCAGCTTTTCTGAGCCTTGAGGGACTGGCTCACATTGAAATGCAGGCTTCTGTTGTCACTCGCTGCTTATCTGTTAGTAATGAACCTGCCTGTGTAATGTATTCTCTGTGTGTTCTGTCTCCCTGGAGTGACGGTGAGTGATAGGAATTGGCATAGGCCCAGGTGCAGTCCAGGATTTGTTTAGAGTCTTCTCTGGGAAGACTGCACTGGGATTGATACACAGCGAATGTGCTTTAGGATTTCTACATCCACAGCATTCTTGAGTCAAACAAATTGCATTCACCAAGGAAAGGAAACAAAGGTGACATCACGATTAAAAATAGCGAAGCAAGATTCTCTTATGTCAAACGGCCAGGAAATAGTGTTGAAGCCCGTGTGAAATGTGCTGCTCTTTGTGATCTCGGGAGACACATGTTAGGCTGCTGTTCTACCCGAGAGGCTGGGGGAAGGACCACCCCCTCGACCATCTATTGCTTCAATACCACCTGTCCTCCTGTGAATTAGTAGGAAAGGGGAGCAGGAGCTAGTGCTGTCGCTGATCTCTGATTCCAAGATCTGGACTCACTCCAAGGAGTATTAATGTTTCCTCCCCATGGTCTATCTGAATCTCCACAGGTGATTGGAAGTAGGGGTGAGGTGGGGGATTTGGGTGAGTGGGCAAGTTTTTTTTTGCGATGACCAGAGCACTTTCTCTATTCCAGGATCCGTGCTGGAGGATTCAGCGGGCTTTCACATTTTCTATGTGATCTCATGCTCACAGAAAGCCAAATAGGGAAGAGGTTTTAGGCTCATTGCCTAATGGATAAGATAAAGGATCAAAGAAGTAATTATAGAGAAATAGAAAAATGATGATTGGAATTCAGGTGCCTTTGTCATTCGTGTGTGTTTTATTATATTTATGCATTTCTTATTTTTATTTTTTGAGACGGAGTCTCCTTGTGTCACCCAGGCTGGAGTGCAGTGATGCAATCTCCACTCACTGCAACCTCCACCTCCTGGGTTGAAGTCATTCTCCTGCTTCATCCTCCAGAGTAGGAGCTGGGATTACAGGGATGCACCACCATGCTCGGCTAATTTTTGTATTTTTAGTACAGATAGGGTTTCACCATGTTGGCCAGGCTGGTCTGGAACTCCTGACTTCATGGAATCCACCCGCCTTGGCCTCCTGCAGTGCTGGGTTACAAGCGTGAGCCACCGTTCACAACTTGTATATTATGCTATAATAGGTCTCTTCATTTCCACCACCCCTCATATATCTGTCACTCCTTTGCCAGGTATTGATTTATGTGTAGGATGAATAAATCTCAGAAAGAAATTAATTAAGCGAGGATTAAACAAGTAGGAAAATCAAACCCAGCAAGCCTTTCCAGCCAATGATTCTACCTCACAAGCATATCTTATATCCATCTACTTCATTCATTTAGTGTCTAAATCAGCACCACATTTCACCAGTGGGGCGGCAATTGCCTTTTCCACGGTCTCCTAGATTCCAGTTATGCAACTGAGCCTCCCTTATTTTCATGTCCGTCATATTAATCATGTAGGGATTCCTGGTTACCTCGAGGTGAGTCCAATGGCTGTGAGTGTCAAACACACACTCCTTGTTGCTCCTTAGTTTCCTGTGTACCCAGTGTGCTCTCCGTCTCCCTACAGTCATCTTGTCATTCTCCCCACATCATTCCCAGCATTTGAGGCAGAGCCTCTTCCTTCCACATCAGATTGTTTTCAGCTTTCTGCCTTCACGGCTGACAGCTGTGTGTGCAAAATCCTTCCGCCAATCTTTCAGGGGTTCAATCCGTGTTTTTCATTAATGTCACAAATATCTGAATAGTGAGACCTTCTCTGTCACCCAAAATTATACACTCAGCATTATCTATTATTGATTTTGAATTCTGGCTGGGCACAGTGGCTCACGTCTTTTATCCCAGTACTTTGGGATGCTGAGATGGTCGGATCACTTGAGGTTGGGAGTTTCAGACAAGCTTGGCCAACATGGTGAAACATCCTCTCTACAAAAAATATACAAAAAGAATTAGCCGGGCATGGTGGCAGTTGCCTGTAATCCCAGCTACTCAAGAGGGTGAGGCAGGAGAATCACTTGGATCCAGGAGACGCAGGTTGCAGTGAGCCAAGATCGTGACACTGCACTGTAGCCTGGAAGACAGAGGGAGACTCTGTCTCAATAAACAAACGAACAAACAAACAAATAGATTTCATGCACAGATGCTTCCCAATGGATCATTCATTTATTGGTCCACTTGTGCATTCATTTTCTGTCCTCCCATTTAACCATCTGCAATATCAGTGTCCCAAGAGCAGAGGCCAAATGCATCTTGTTCACCATTTGTGGAAGGCAGGAGAATGCTGTCCCACCCCAAAATGTCCCTGTCCTAGCCTCCATAGCTTGTGAATATGTTATTTTACATGGAAAGGAGGAATGAAGATTGCAGATGGAATTACGGTTGCTAATCAGCTGAACTTAAAACAAGGGTATCCTGAATGATTTCCGGGAGATTATGACGGATTTTCATCTTGGTGAACCCAATAGAATCCCCAAGTTTTCAAAAGATGAGGAAGAAGGGAGAGCAGCATTCAGAGAAAGAGGTGTGGTAAGGAAGAAGGGTCTGAGTGATGCCATGTGAGATGTGACCAGTCTTTGTGGGTTTTGAGGAAGGAGGAAGGGGACCAGCAGCCAAAGAACTGGGAGCCTTTATAAGATGGGACAAGTGAGAAGCAGATTCTTGCCTGGAATCCTCAGAGGGAAGGCAGGCTTGCTGTCATCTTGATTTTAGCCCAGTGAGATGCACTTCATGCTTTGAGCTAGAGCACTGTAAGATAATTAAATAACCGTTTTGTTTTCACCCACGAATCTTGTGGAAATTTGTTATGGCAACAATAGGAAAAGCTTCCACACTGCACAACCTGAGCATGGGGCCGTGGCTGAATAAGTCAGTGAGTCGAAGTGTGCGTGCATGAGCTCTGTTCTCTGTTACGGCAAGGCTCTTGCTCTGCTGAGTCAGCCAGGGTTGTTTCATGACCAACAGGAGCTCATTCCTTGGCAAGTGGAACTTCTCTAAAACACCTCGCCCTCATCAGATGTTCCCTTCCCTTCCCTCTCTCAAGCCCCCAGGAATTTATCCTCCAGTTAGGAATGCAAGCAGAACAAACATTGCATTTTTCCTGAGAAGGATGTCAGATTGGCAATCATTCTTCTAGCTTGTAGGAGGTCTCAGCTCCATAAAATGAGAGATGAAGAGATTTCACTGAGCCCTGTGTTGGGCCCAGATCCCTTTCGCTGTTGGAGTATCTGGAGTTCGGAGATGGTAGAAGACAGGCGTACAATGTCAGAGCTGTGAGATGCTGAGTCAACGCCTGAATCCAAGGTTTCCACCTCCCCAGGGTTCCAAAAGCAGATATAAGAGGGTCCTGTACTCACCGGTTTTGGAGCTTGGTTCAGTGGGTGAAGGCCAACTATTTGAAGGGTTTCCTAGAACATGAGACAGGAGAGAGGTGAGGAAATGCGGGTGTCTGTCCTCTACTCAATGGAAATCTTTGAGGATGGTTCATGGCCAACACTCTGTTATCTAACATTGGGCCCTGGGAGTCCAGGGATCCTTTCTTCCATAATTTTTGTATGTGACGCCCACTGTCTTGAGACTTCAAGGTATAAAGAGAAAACAGGAGCATCACACTACCTGATCTCAAAATATGTTACAGAGCTGTAGTAAGCAAAACAGCATGATGTTGGCATGAAGAAAGGCACATAGAACAACGGAGCAGAATGAAGAACACAGATATAATCCATGCATTTACATCCAATTTTTTTTATTTTTTCTTTTGAGATGGAGTCTCGCTCTGTCACCCAGGCTGGAGTGCAGAGGTGCAATCTCGGTTCACTGCAACCTCAGCCTCCTGGGTTCAATCAATTCTCTTGCCTCAAACTCCTGAGTAGTAGTATTACAGGTGCTGACCACCATGCTCAGCTAATTTTTATATTTTTAGTGGAGACGATGTTTCATCACGTCGGCCAGAGTAATCTTGTACTCCTGTCCTCAGGTGATCCACCAGCCTTGGCCTCCCAAAGTGCTGAAGTTGCTGGTGTTAGCCACCATGCCCAGCCCATCCAATGGACTTTGACAAAGGTGCCAAGAACTCACAATCAGGAAAGGACAGTTTTTTCAATAAACAGTGCAGGGAAACCTGGACATCTACATGCAGAGGAATGAAACTGCACCTCTACCTGTCACCATACACAAAAATCAAATGAAAGTGGATTAAAGATGTAAGTCTAAGGCCTGAACCTGTGAAACACGTAGAAGAAAATATTGGGGAAATGCTCCAGGACATTTGTCTGAAGGAAGACATTTTGTTTTAAACCTTCAAAACACAAGTAATTGAAGCAAAAATAGACCATTGGGATTACCTCAAACTAAGCAACTTCTGCACCGCTAAAAATAAACCAACAAAGTGAAGAGACAACCCACAGATTGGGAGCAAATATGTGCAAACTATGCTTCTGAGACGGGATTAATAACTAGAAGTATAAGAAGCTCAAACAACTCAATAAAACAAATGATTTAATTGAAAAAGGAGCAAAAGACATGAAATTTCCCCACATACGAAAAAGTGCTCAGTATCACTCATCATCAGAGAAACGCGAATTAAAATCAAAGTGAGTTTTCATCTCACCCCATTAAAATGGCTTTTAGGCCGGGCGAGGTGGCTCATGTCTGTCATCCTAGAACTCTGAGAGCCCGAGGTGGGCGAATCTCATAAGGTCGGGAGTTTGAGACCAGTCTGACCCACATGGAGAAACACTGTCTCTACTAAAAATACAAAAATTAGTCGGGCGTGGTGGCGTGTGCCTGTAATTCCAGCTACTCGGGAGGCTGAGGCAGGAGAATCGCTTGAACCTGGGAGGTGGAGGTTGCGGTGAGCCGAGATCGCACCACTGCACTCCAGCCTGGGTGACAAGAGCGAAACTCCATCTCAAAATAAAATGAAATAAAATAAAATGGCTTTTAGCTGCAAGACAGGCAAAACAAATGCTGGCAAGGTGGTAGAGAAAGGAGAACCCTGGTACCCTGTTGGTAGGAGTGTAAATTAGTACAGCCATTACGGAGAAAAGTATGGAAGTCCTTTAAAGAACTAAAAAGAGGTTGGATGAAGTGGATCATGCCTGTAATCCCGGCACTTTGGGAGACCGAGGCGGGCACCTCAGTTGAGGTCATGAGTTTGAGAGCAGCCTAGCCAACCTGGGGAAACCCCATGTACACTAAAAAAAACCAAAAAGTATCCCGGCATGGTGGCGTGCACCTGTAATCCCAGCTACTAGGGAGGCTGAGGCAGGAAAATCATTTGAACCCAGGAGGCGGAGGTTGCAATGAGCCAAGATCACATCACTTGTACTCCAGCCTGGGCACAGAGGGAAACTGTCTCAAAAACAAAAACAAAACAACAAACGAAAAACTAAAAAGAGAACTTTCATAGTATCCAGCAATTTCACTACTGGGTTTATATCCAAAGGAAAGTAAATCAATGTATCGAAGTGATATCTGCACTCGTATGATTGGTGCAGCACTCTTCACAGTAGCCAAGATGTGGAGTCAACCTACCTGCCCATCAGTGGATGAATGGATAGAGAGAATGTAGTACATACGCACAGCGGAGACTACTCATCCATAGAAAGAATAACATCCTGATATTTGCAGCCACATGGATGGAACTGGAAGTCATTACAAATATTCTCATTTCTCACCCATATACAGGAGCTAAAAGGTGGATCTCATGAAGATAGAGAGTAGAATGGTGGCTACCAGAGGCCAGGAAGAAAAGGGTGGAGGATAAAACAAACAAACAAAAAATTTATATGTATGTATTTATGACCACTAGACCTTACACTTAAAATTGGTAAACGTGGCCGGGCGCGGTGGCTCATGCCTGTAATCCCAGCACTTTGGGAGCCTGTGGCGGGTGGATCACGTGGTCAGGAGTTCCAGAGCAGCTCGACCAACATGGTGAAACCCCCTCTCTACTAAAAATACAAAAAGTAGCCTGGCGTGGTGATGGGCGCCTGTAGTACCAGCTACTCAGGTGGCTGAGGCAGGAGAATCGCTTGAACCCAGGAGGCGGAGGTTACAGTGAGCTGAGATTGTGCCACTGCATTCCAGCATAGGAGACAGAGCTAGACTCCACCTCAAAAAAAAAAAATGTTAAAAGTGGTAAGCTATATAGGTATATTTAACCTCAATAAATATTTTTTCAAACAAAAAGAAAAGGATGTAGGGGTTGCTGGTGATGACATCTCTGTGTGGGTGAGAGGCCAGGAAGGGCTTCTGGGAAATGGGTAAGGTTGAGGGGCTGAGGGAACCTCTGATCTCCCCAAACTGAGCCCAGTCTCCCCTTCTCTGGGTCTCTCCTGACCGCTTTCTACATCTGCCTGGGTGCCTGGAGCCCTAATCGGAGGCCTCCATGCAGGCCATGCAGGAGGGTTTGGAGGTGCTGTGTGTGCCATCCTGCACCCTGATCCCTCCCTCACAGGCATGCTGCGTCTTCTCTCTGCATCTGTCCATGCTTCTCTCCATCATCAGCAGGAAGCTCCTCAGCTAAGGCTCTAGGATCATAGGACATGGGACAGATATGGGGTTTCCTCACCTGTGACGGAAACAAGCAGTGGATCACTCGAGTTTGACCACTCGTAGGGAGCGTCACGGAAAGAGCCGAAGCATCTGTAGGTCCCTCCGTGGGTGGCAGGGCCCAGAGGAAAGTCGGCCTGGAATGTTCCGTGGATGCTGCGCACTGCAGGGAGCCTACGTTCATGGGCCTCCCCCTCCCTGGATAGATGGAGCTGCAGGACAAGGACACATTCTCTCCTGCCTGAACCGTGGGGCCCGGCTGGGCTGAGAGAGAAGGTTTCTCATATAGACCTGGAAGGAGAAGGGGCAGTTTCCTCAGGGGGGATCTTCCTTGTCACAGCTCCCCTCACACCTGACCTGAGAACTCACTCCCCTGCTCTATGGCCTAATGCTCTCTTTCTCTGTCTCACCCTCCACCCCATCTCTCTTCATGTCTATTTCCTCCTTCCACCTTCTCTGTGTCTGTAGGTCTCTGACCTCACTTCCCTACCTCTAGTTATGTTTTCCGTTTTTGGATTGTTTTATTCTCTCTGGCTCTCCTTGGATTGGTTGACTTGATGTTACTTTTTTTAACTCTGAGTTTCTCAGTTTGTGTCCCGTTCATAACTTTCTGCATATTTCTATCTATTATCTATCAATCCATCTATTTATCTATTCGGTGCCTATCTACAAATTCTCTACCTGTCATCTATATCTATATATCATCTATGTATCTATCAATTGTCTATCCGTCAATCATCTATTATCTATATATATGTATCATCTCTCTCTCTCTATTATTTCTCTCTTTGTCTTCCTCTCTATCTCTATGTATTATCTATCCATCTATCTTCATCATCATCATCTCTATGTATCATCTATTAATGAATCAATCAATCATCATCTATGTATCTATAACCTATTATCTATCATCTACCTATATATCATCTATCTATATCTATCCATCATCTATCTGTATCTATCCATCTATCATCTGTCTTGCTCTGCCTCTCGGTCTCTCTAGTTCTCTTTGGAATCTCTGCAATTCATCCCCACATCTCCATCTTTCTATGCCCTTGTGCCTCACCCTCAGGACTCTAATTTTAGTGGTTTTCTCTGCTCTCTTCCATCATTCTCTCCACTTCTCTGCCCTCTTCTCTCTCTTTATGTGTCTGTGAGTCTCTCAATCTCCTTCCTCTGGCTCTTTCTCTGTGTGTTTATGTCTTTGCTTTTTGGTGTCCCTGATTTCTCTCTGTGCTTCTCAGTGATCCTCTCATATGTGATATGTGGGGTTATTTGGAATGTGAGCCTCAGAATCCAGTCTGGAGACCACAAGTTCACACAGCATACAGGGGTTGGTGTTCTGGGGCCATGATATTTTGGGACGATTATTCTCCATTGCATGGAAGTCAGAGGTGTCAGAATAAGCATGGCATCTGTAGGTGCCACAAGGCCTGAGGCCACAGGGCCCAACTCAGGTCAGAAATATGGGTGTCCTTGGGTTCTCCTGGTAGAGAACACTTTGTGGAGGTAAAACAGAAATGAAACTTCTAACCTGTGCCAGGTCTCTGAGCAAAGTCAGCATGGAAGGACACCTCTGTCTGGGACATGTCTGTCTGTCTCCTTTAACTCTTTCTGTCTTTTCTAACTCCCTGTATGGCCCCTGTGTTTGTCCTCTGTTATGACACCTGGTCTGTACTTGTGTCTCTTGTTTCTCTGTCTCTGTTGGCACAGACCTCACCAAGTCAGTCTCTCTCCATAAGAATACCAAGCTCATCTTCCTTACAACCACCTGGGTCTCCAAGTCCTGGATCATTCACTCTGCATCCCAATGACAATGAGAAGAAAGTCTGGACACTCTCACCTATGATCACCATGTCCAGAGGGTCACTGGGAGCTGACAACTGATAGGGGGAGTGAGGAACAGAACTGTAGCATCTGTAGGTTCCTGCAAGGACAGGCATCATGGGACCAATGGAGAAGTTGGCCTTGGAAACCCCATCATGGTGCTCTCCAATGAGGTGCAAAGTGTTGTTAAACTTCCCCTCTCTGTGCAGAAGGAAGTGCTCAAACATGACATCCGACCAACATTGCAGGATGACTGTCTCTTCTGATTTCACCAGGTGACCTGGGAGGGCCAGGAAGGAAGGTTTTCTGTGGACTCCTAGGAAGAGAGGTTGTGAGTTTAGAAGGTGTCTCTCTTTATCATCCCATCCATGGCACCTGGAATGAGTGAGCCTTCCCTTCGCTGGTGTCTGTCTCTCTGCTTCCTCTCTGTGTCTTCATGTTCTTTTCTGTGCCCATAACTCCTGGTGCAGGTCCTTCCATCTGTCTCCCTCCCTCTTCTCTGTCTCTCTGTCTCTAGTAGCTGTGGTTCCCTTCCCACTGGGCTCAGCCTCATCTCTTGGGCTGTTGTATCTATTTCACACTAATGTCTTTCTTACTGTCTATGTGGGAGTGGAAGAGGAAGCAGGATAGGCTGCACGTCCCGGCTCTTAGCAGCCTGGTTCAATCTCTTTTGGACGAATTGGAATCCTTGGCAGGAGGTATGAACTGATCAGTAAGGCAGGCACCAGTGTCCACACACCCTGTTCCTGGTGGGGACTGGGAGCCACTCTTGCCATGCCTGTGCCTTCTCCATGGTGCCAGTTTCCATAGGCTGGCTCCTCGTGCTGATTTGAGGAGTATCAACCCCTCCCTATGTGGATGGAGCCTGGTGGTGGCATCATCATCCCACCCTTGCTGATCTCGGTGTAGCCAACCTTCTCTTTGTTTGGTTTCTTTAATTAATTAATTAATTTTGGAGACAGAGTCTCACTCCTTCGCCCAGGCTGGAGTGAAGTGGTGTGGTCTACGCTCACTGCAACCTCTGTCTCCTGGGTTCAAGCGATTCTCCTGCTCTCAGCCTCCCGAGTCGCTAGGATTACATGCACCTGCCACCATGCCTGGCTATCCTTGTGTCTTTTCTTAACTTGTCCTTGACCTGGGTTCCAGTGTTGGTTTCCTGTTGCTGCTGTAGAAAATTATCAGAAGCATGGCAGCAGGAGAGAGCACACTGACCCCCTCCGATTCTGGAGACAGAAAGCGGACCCTGTTTTTCGAGGGCTAAAATCAAGGCATCTGCAGGGCTGTGTTCCCTCTGGAGACTCAGGAGAATCAGTTACTTGACTTTCCCAGCCTCTATAGGCCACCTGCATTCATGGCTTATGGCCTTCATCCACCTTCAAAGCTGATGGAGTCTCCCACTACGCTGCTCTAATCCCCACTCTCCTCTTCCTCCTCCTTTCATGTGGACACTTGTGATTATACTGAGCCCACCGGGACAGTCCAGGCTGTCTCCCCATCTCAAGGTCAACTCATCAACAACCTGAGCTCCATCTTCCCCTTCAGTCCCTTCCCCTATAACATAAATAGTCACAGACTCCAGGGATTAGAATGCAGTCATCATTGGGGACACTTATTCTTCCCACCACAGCACCCATTTCCCTGTATTCAATCCCCCTTTACCCCAAATACAGTTAGGGCCTGCGTGATGGGACCCTCAAGGACATGCCTACCAGAAGCTCTGGGATTCAGGAGGTGGGACAAGGAGAATCCCAGACAGGAGCCCTCTGACCTGTGACCATGATCACCAGGGGGTTGCTGGGTGCCGACCACCCACTGGGGGAGTGTGTGTGTGAACCCCGGCATCTATAGGTCCCTGCATGTGAGGGGGTCACAGGGCCCATGAAAAGGCTTTTCCAGAATATTCTGTTGTACAGCTCAGGGACAGGCACCCCATCATCCTTGTACAGACTGAAGTTGTTAAACCCAAGATTAGAGTGACACTGAAGAGTCACATGTTCTGGAGGCACCACAAGGCTGGGCCAGGTAGAAAGCAAGGGCTTGTCCTGACCACCTTGGGGTGAAGGAGGCGCCGCCTTAGAGAGGAGGATGTGGAGCTGTGCCTCCCTCCCTGTGCTCAGAAGATTCTCCCCACTTTCCACATTTCTATGGCTGCTATCACACCTTGGTGCCTAGGGCTAAAGGAAGGACCCATCCCACAAAGACAAGGTGTCTCCGTACAACAAAAGTGTCAGCTGAGAACTTTGAGCAAGTGCTGAGTAAGAGACTCCTACTAGATTTTAATACTGTAAGATTACTGACATAAAACAACACAGGGTAGACATGAAGTGGAGGGCATGTCCTTTGAGAATGGAATATCAGCAGTTGCCTGAATGAGAATAAAAAACTTAGCCCCATCAGAGGATTTGGAATGTCAGGGCCATGGCTGTGGTTTCCCACCTCTTCTGGTAGAATGACAGCAGCCACACTGCAGCCCCTACCGTCATGGAAACGCTGAAGTGTGTGAGTAACACCTTTGTCCTCAGAGGATCTGCTGTTCCTACCACTTCCCCACCACACAACCCAGCTTTGAACACCCTAGTCCAACCCTGGTCCCCACACAACTTGACTCTGCCAAGGGGTTGAGAGGCCAGGGAGGCAAGGTCGGAACTGTGGGCCGAGCACCCCAGGGTCCCTTCTTCCTAGTTTATGAGAGACTCCCTGACAGGACTTCCCTCTCGTTTCAGGAAAATCCTCTTATGTGGGGAGATGACACCCTAAGGTTTGGAGAAGGACTTACCCTCCTGTGGCCAGGCCCCCTGCAGCAAGAAGAACCCTGGAAAGAAAGATCATGATGGAAGATCCATTTGCAGGCAAACAAGGCCTTCCTTGCTGCCCCCACTGGGCTGTGAGTCTTGATAGCCAGCCCCTTCCTGGGCCGAAGGGAAACTCACCATCAGTGCCTACCTGCACCCAAGAACAGTGCTCTCGGCTGTGCAGAGACCCAGCCTCCAGGCCCATATCCCCACCCCAAGCCCATATCTCCACTCCAGGCCCATATCTCCACTCCAGGCCGATATTTCCACCCTAGACCCATATAGCCAATCCGGGCCCACATCTCCAATCCAGGCTCAGATCTCCACCCTAGGCCCATATCTCCAATCCAGGCCCATATCTCCACTCCAGGCCCATATCTCCTCTCCAGTCCCATATCTCCACTCCAGGCCCATATCTCCACCCCAGGCCCAGATCTCCACTTCCAGGCCCATAACTACACTCCAGGATCATATCTCCACTCCAAGCCCATATCTCCACATCAGGCCCATATCTCCACTCCAGTCCCATATCTCCACACCCAGGCCCATATCTCCATTCCAGGCCCATATCCCCATCCTAGGCCCATATCTCCACCGTAGGCCCAGATCTCCACTCCAGGCCCATATCTCCACTCCAGGGCCATATCTCCACTCCAGGCCCCATATCTACACACCAGGCCCCATATCTCCACCCCATGCCCATGTCTCCACTCCAGGGCCATATCTCCACTCCACGCCCATATCTCCACTCCAGGCCCATATCTCCACTCCACGCCCATATCTCCACTCCAGGCCCAGATCTCCACCTCCAGGCCCGTATCTCCACTCTAGTCCCATATCTCCACTCCAGGCCCATATCTCCACCTCCAGGCCCATAACTTCACTCCAGGCCCATAACTCCACTCCAGGCCCATATCTCCACCTCCAGGCCCATATCTCCACTGCAGACCCATATCTCCACTCCAGGCCCATATCTCCACTCCAGGCCCAGATCTCCACTCCAGGCCCAGATCTCCACTCCAGGCCCAGATCTCCACCTCCAGGCCCCTATCTCCACTCTAGTCCCATATCTCCACTCCAGGCCCATATCTCCACCTCAAGGCCCATAACTTCACTCCAGGCCCATAACTCCACTCCAGACCCATATCTCCACCTCCAGGCCCATATCTCCACTGCAGACCCATATCTCCACTCCAGGCCCATATCTCCACTCCAGGACCATATCTCCACTCCAGGCTCATATCTCCACTCCAGGCCCATATCTCCACCTCCAGGCCCATAACTTCACTCCAGGCCCATAACTCCACTCCAGGCCCATATCTCCACTCCAGTCCCATATCTCCACTCCAGTCCCATATCTCCACCCTAGGCTCCTACCTCCCCTCCAGGTTCCTATCTCTCCTCCAGGTTCCTCTCTCCACTCCAGGTTCCTATCCCCACTCCAGGCCCATATCTCCACTCCAGGCCCAGATCTTCACTCCAGGCCCAGATCTCCACTCCAGGCGCAGATCTCCACTTCTAGGCCAATCACTCCATCTCTAGGCCCAGATCTCCACTCCAGGCCCAGATCTCCACTCCAGGCCCATAACTCCACCTCCAGGCCCATATCTCCACCTCTGGGCCCAGATCTCCATCCCCACGCTCCCTCCCTCTATTCCCTTCCAGGACTCACCAACACACGCCATGATGATGACCATGAGCGACATGGTGCTGCCGGTGCAGACAGGCGGCCGCGCCCCAGCTCAGCTCAGCAGCGCACAGGATGTTATTTGGCGCCCTGCCCATGCAGTTTACATGTTGACCACATCATGGGAGGGTGACGTACGCAGGCTTTTTCTACCTTGCATGAGGCCCAGTGGGTGCTCGCTCAAGAGCGGAACATGGCTTCCTGGAAATTGCTCTCACTAGAATTGACACCTCGCGTCCTTCACTATGACCAACTCAAAACACGTCTTAGATCCAACCTCCCAAACATGAGATGCCTAAAATCTGTGCTAACATGAAAGACTTTTCATGAATTTTTATTGTTTTTATCTGAGATTCGAACTCTTCTTCCTGTGTAATATGCAAAATATCTAATAGGTATTATTAGTGTTTTCAGAGTCATTGTGACTAATAAACCATTAGAATTGTTCATGCTTGTATTTCTAGTATTACAGCAGAACCAGTTCAAATGATTTAAATTCCCAGGGAAGGATTATGCAATTATTTACAATCTTAGAATTGTACTTTATCAGCAAAAACCACACATGTAAATTCTGGATTTTTGTAGTTTTATCTATAATTTGTCTCATGACTCAAGATTCCAGAGTCCCAACTTTGGAGTTTGCTCTCTCTCTGTCTCTCTGCCTCCCTCATTTTAAATTTTACAGAAATATCCAGTAACATAATGCTATAGAAAATCAAGTTTCCCCCAGCAGGTCGGGAAGCCGAGGTGGGCGGATCAACTGAGATGAGGAGATTGAGAGCAGCCTGGCCAACACAGTGAAACCGCGTCTCTGCTAAAAATTCAAAAATTAGCCATGCCTGGTGGCAGGCACCTGAAACGCCAGCTACTCAAGAGACTGAGGCACGAGAATCGCCTGAACCTGGGAGGCGGAAGTTGCAGTGAGCTGAGATTGCTCCACTACAGTCCCGCCTGGGCGACAGAGCAAGACTCCGCCTCAAGAAAAAAAAATAGCAAGTAGCCTATAATAACAAATTAGAGGGCTCTGGCTACTAAATTTAAAGGGTTTTATAAGGCTACATGAAGTGCAGCATCCTCAAGAGTGTGGACACAGAGAGCCCCTTAGCAGAAACAGTGTCTAAAATACATCCGTGTACACACAGTCCCTTTAGAGTTGACAAAGGCTGCCGTGTGGTTTAAGGTGGCATAGAATGTCTTCTCAATAAATAATATTAAACCAAAGGGTTACACGTAGGAAAAAATAAATCTAAACTTATTCTCACACTATAAAAACACTTCTTACTTTTTATCTAGTTATTGTACATTTTTTATGATTTATATTTAAAATTGAGAAATAAAAGTCATATACGGTCATCCTTTACTATTCGTGGGTGATTGGTTTCAGGATCTCCACTCAGGTACCAAAATCTGCAGATGCTCAAGCCTCTTACATAAAATGACACAGCATTTGGATATAACCCATGCACATCCTCCTGTATACATGAAATCATCTCTTGATTACTTATAATTCCTGATACAGCCTACACACTGCCTCATTTGTGTCCATTCAACATAGTTTTGCATTTTGAAACTTTGTGGACATTTTCTCTGAATATTTTTGATTTACACTTGGTTCAATAAACACCTGTAAACCCCACAGATATGGAGGAGCGACTGTATATTTATAGTATGAAATATGATGTGTTGATATGTGTCCCCATGGAGATGAGACTAGCAAGGCTTATGACTCTACAAATGTTTCATCGTGGAATGACTCTGCCAGCTTTCCAGGTTGCAGAGAGTAAGAATATCACTTGTTCATGTGATTCACGATCCTTGGAACCTCCTATGTGCTGCATCTTTGGATGGAAATTGGAGTCCCAGAGACAAATGAGGCTCCACCCTGCTTCCAGAAGCTCAGAGTCCAGGGGTGAGAACCTAGCGGAGAACAGATAGGGTTATGTGGACATGGTAATGATAACAGCGGTTTCTTTCAGCGAATACAGTGTCACATTACCTGAAGCAATGAGGGCAGACATGTTTATTTGAAGAGGAGACAGCTACATTGAAATCACAAAAAATTTTATAAGTTTCACTGCTGACAGAAGGCTGGAAAATAGTCCGAAGAAAGGTGAAACAGCATGAGGGAAGGTGGAACAGCACGTGGGTAAGTGCCACGTCAAGAGGGAGCCTCTTGTATGTTTGGAATTGTGAGTTACTCAGTGTGATCGCAGCCTCAAGTAGACTAGGAAGTAAGCCAGTTAGGTTGGAGAGGTGGGCAGGGGTCAAGTGAAATGGAGAACTGTGGGCTAAGCAAAGGAGTGTGTTTTCTTTCCAGCAGGCAGTGGGGACCTAGACATTTGTAAGCAAGAGAGAGGCACCAGATTTGTGGCGTGAGGAGGAGCGATGCCCTAAGATGAAGACTCACGCCTTCAGATTCCAGCTGCTGGTACATGGGAGCTGGCAACTCGGTTTTGAGACAGGGCTGTTGTCTCCCTAGAAGACGCCCTCAAGGCCTGACTGTGGTGCTCATGGGCAGGAGACAACTTTGGATCTGGGCTTAGCATTTGGAAGTTCCGTGTACAAGATGGTATCTGTAGGGGGTGTCTTGGGCCTCTGAGAAGGGCGAGTGATTTTTCTCTGTGTGAAAACGCAGTGATCCAACTGTGCATATGTCACCTCCTGAGGGTCTTGTTCATCAGAGTCCTGGAGAGAGGGAAATGCTGAGTGAGGGAGGGAAATGCTGAGTGAGGGAGGGTGCTCACGTTTTCCAGGACTGTTTGGGAATAACACTAGCCACGAGGCTGGGCCGAGGAGCACCTACCTCGCTGTTGGCTGTTCTGTTCCCTGCAGGCTCTTGGTCCATTACAGCAGCATCTGTAGGAGACGGAAGTCAACAAAAGAGCTCGGAGGGCACTTCTGGGTCCTCATTTCCTAAGCAGATACCAACAAACAGGGGGAGGCCATAGGTGCCTGAGGTCCCTCAGTTGCCAACAGCAGACTCAGACATTCTATCTCTCTGAGCTCAAGGACCCATCCCATGAATAGCTCTGAGTTCCCATCCCATTGATTCTATCTCCCACTTTCTGCCTGTCATGGAACCTTCTCCTGGATGTGAGTGGCTGCGGGGGACATGAGGATACAGTTCAGAATCAGGCAACGGTCTGTGAGCTGAAGGCAGGGGCAGGGAGTCTGGTGCTCTCTCTAGAAAGTCCTGCCTCTGTGGCTGCTGCCTTGGGCCAGGGACCATCCTGCCAGTGAGGAACACACAGCTGTGTGCTCCCATCCTGCTTCCCCACATGGCCCTGAGCTCTCTGGCCTGTGCCGCGTGAGACTTACTTTTTTTGTTGGAGCACCAGAGATGAAGGAGAAAGAAGAGGAGGAGGATGAAGAGGATGATGACCACTGAGGTCCCAATCAGAACGTGCAGGTGTCTGGGGTTACCTGGAAGAAGAGGAGACACCAGTAAGAAGCTAATCATAGCAGATTCTCTATATGAATTGTCTTGCATTTCTTGATTGACAGGTAACCACTTACAGCATCTCTTTCGGACAAGCACCCAGATGGCGGGAGACCTAGCTTCCTCCTGCTTTCTCAGTTATAGCTCTCATAGTAACCATGGAACGTGCTGAGGATACAACTACTTTAGTTGAGATGTTTGACCCCTTCAAACCTCACATTGAAATTTAACCCCCAGTGTGGGAGGTTGGGCCTCTTGGGAGGTGTTTGGGTCATGGAGGTGGATCCATCATGAACAGATCAATGCTGTCCCAAGGAGACGGGGTTAGCAAGTTCCCTCTCTATTAGTTCCTGGAGAGCTGGTTGTTAAAAAGAGCTTGGAAGCTCCATTGCTCCCCCTCCCCCTTGCTCCCTCTCTTGCCGTGTGATCTCTGTGGTCTCTGCACAGACAGACTCTCCTTCCCTTCTGCCAGAGTGGGAGCGGCCTGAGGCCATCATAAGAAATAGATGCTGGTGCCATGCTTCCAGTACAGCCTGCAGAATGTTGAGGCAAACCAATCTCTTCTTTAGAAGTTACCCAGGCTCAAGTGTTCCTTTAGAGCAACAAAAATGGACTAAGACAGCAAAGTCCTGAGATCAGGAGGATCGTCCCAGAACAGCCTGGGCTGTCTTCCTGTTCTTCCTGGAGGAGGACGTCATGCAGTGCTTTAGCTGAGTGCTTCCTGTGGCTCCAGGGTACAAAACCCAGGCTGGGCTGCTTTCTGGCTTCCCCCAGCTACACTGCAAATGGGGTGACTCCACATGTCTCGAGCAGCTTTTCTGAGCCTTGGGGAACTGGCTCACATTGAAATGTAGGCTTCTGTTGTCACTCGCTGCTTATCTGTTAGTAATGAACCTGCCTATGTAACGTATTCTCTGTGTGTTCTGTCTCCCTGGAGTGACGGTGAGTGATAGGAATTGGCATAGGCCCAGGTGCAGTCCAGGAGGTGTTTAGAGTCTTCTCTGGGAAGACTGGACTGGGATTGATACACAGCGAATGTGCTTTAGGATTTCTACATCCACGGCATTCTTGAGTTAAACAACTTGCATTCTCCAAGAAAAGGAAACAAAAGTGAAATCAATATAAAAAAAGCGAAGTAGAATTCTCTTATGTCAAACAGCCAGAAAATAGTGTTGAAGCCCGTGTGAAATGTGCTACTCTTTGTGATCTCGGGAGACACATGTTAGGCTGCTGTTCTACCTGAGAGGCTGGGGGAAGGACCACCCCCTCGACTATCTATTGCTTCAATACCACCTGTCCTCCTGTGAATTAGTAGGAAAGGGGAGCAGGAGCTAGTGCTGGCACAGATCTCTGATTCCAAGATCTGGACTCACTCCAAGGAGTATGAGCATTTACCTCCCCATGATCTATCTGTATCTCCACAGGTGATTGGAAGTAGGGGTGAGGTGGGGGATTTGGGTGAGGGGGCAAGTTTTTTTTGTGATGACCAGAGCACTTTCTCTATTCCAGGATTTGTCCTGGAGGATTCAGCGGGCTTTCACATTTTCTATATGATCTCATGCTCACAGAAAGCCAAATACGGAAGAGGTTTTAGGCTGATTGCCTAATGGATAAGATAAAGGATCAAAGAAGTAATTATAGAGAAATAGAAAAATGATGATGGGAATTCAGGTGCCTTTGTCATTCGTGTGTGTTTTATTACATTTATGCATTTCTTATTTTTATTTTTTGAGATGGAGTCTCCTTGTGTCACCCAGGCTGGAGTGCAGTGATGCGATCTCCACTCACTGCAACCTCCACCTCCTGGGTTGAAGTCATTCTCCTGCTTCATCCTCCAGAGCAGGAGCTGGGATTACAGGGATGCACCACCATGCTCGACTAATTTTTGTATTTTTAGGAGAGATAGGGTTTCACCATGTAGAGATAGGGTTTCACCATGTTGGCCAGGCTGGTCTGGAACTCCTGACTTCTTGGAATCCACTGGCCTTAGCCTCCTGCAGTGCTGGGTTACAGGCGTGAGCCACCGTTCACAGACTTGTATACTATGCTATAATAGGTCCCTTCATTTCCACCACCCCTCATATATCTGTCACTCCTTTGCCAGGTATTGATTTATGTGTAGGAGGAATAAATCTCAGAAAGAAATTAATTTAGCAAGGATTAAACAACTAGGAAACTCAAACCCAGCAAGCCCTCCCTGCAAATGATTCCACCTCACAAGCATAGCTTATATCCATCTGCTTCATCCACTTAGGGTCTAAATCAGCACCACATTTCACCAGTGGGGCGGGAATTGCCTTTTCCACGGTCTCCTAGATTCCAGTTACGCCCCTGGGCCTCCCTTATTTTCATGTCAGTCATATTAATCATGTAGGGATTCCTGGCTACCCCGAGGTGAATCCAATGGCTGTGAGTGTCAAACACACACTCCTTGTTGCTCCTTAGTTTCCTGTGTACCCAGTGTGCTCTCCGTCTCCCTACAGTCATCTTGTCATTCTCCCCACCTCATTCCCAGCATTTCAGGCAGAGCCTCTTCCTTCCACATCAGATTGTTTTCAGCTTTCTGCCTTCACGGCTGACAGCTGTGTGTGCAAAATCCTTCCGCCAATCTTTCAGGGGTTCAATCCGTGTTTTTCATTAATGTCACAAATATCTGATTAGTGAGACCTTCTCTGTCACCCAAAATTATACACTCAGCATTATCTATTATTTATTTTGAATTCTGGCTGGGCAAAGTGGCTCACGCCTGTAATCCCAGTACTTTGGGTTGCTGAGATGGTCGGATCACTTGAGGTTGGGAGTTTCAGACAAGCTTGGCCAACATGGTGAAACATCCTCTCTACAAAAAATATACAAAAAAATTAGCTGGGCATGGTGGCAGTTGCCTGTAATCCCAGCTACTCGAGAGGGTGAGGCAGGAGAATCACTTGGATCCAGGAGACGCAGGTTGCAGTGAGCCAAGATCGTGACACTGCACTGTAGCCTGGAAGACAGAGGGAGACTCTGTCTCAATAAATAAATGAACGAACAAACAAATAGATTTCATGCACAGATGCTTCCCAATGGATCATTCATTTATTGGTCCACTTGTGCATTCATTTTCTGCCCTCCCATTTAACCATCTGCAATATCAGTGTCCCAAGAGCAGAGGCCAAATGCATCTTGTTCACCGTTCGTGGAAGGCAGGAGAATGCTGTCCCACCCCAAAATGTCCCTGTCCTGGCCTCCATAGCTTGTGAATATCTTATTTTACATGGAAAGAAGGAATGAAGATTGCAGATGGAATTACGGTTGCTAGTCAGCTGAACTTAAAACAAGGGTATCCTGAATGATTTCCGGGAGATTATGATGGATTTTCATCTTGGTGAACCCAATAGAATCCCCAAGTTTTCAAAAGATAAGGAAGAAGGGAGAGCAGCATTCAGAGAAAGAGGTGTGGTAAGGAAGAAGGGTCTGAGTGATGCCATGTGAGATGTGACCAGTCTTTGTGGGCTTTGAGGAAGGAGGAAGGGGACCAGGAGCCAAGGAACTGGGAGCCTTTAGAAGCTGGGACAAGTGAGAAGCAGATTCTTGCCTGGAATCCTCAGGCAAGGGAAGACAGCCTTGCTGTCACCTTGTTTTTAGCCCAGTGAGATGCACTTCATACTTTGAGCTACAGCACTGTAAGATAATTAAAAAGCCGCTTTGTTTTCACCCACGAATCTTGTGGAAATTTGTTATGGCAACAATAGGAAAGGATTCCAACTGCACAGCCTGAGCATGGGGCCGTGGCTGAATAAGTCAGTGAGTCGAAGTGTGCGTGCATGAGCTCTGTTCTCTATTACGGCAAGGCTCTTGCTCTGCTGAGTCAGCCAGGGTTGCTTCATGACCAACAGTAATTCATTCCTTGGCAAGTGGAACTTCTCTAAAACACCTCGCCCTCATCAGATGTTCCCTTCCCTTCCCTCTCTCAAGTCCCCAGGAATTTATCCTCCAGTTAGGAATGCAGGAAGAAAAAACACTGCATGTTTCCTGAGAAGGATGTCAGATTGGCAATCATTCTTCTAGCTTGTAGGAGGTCTCACCTGCAGGACATTAAAGGTTAAGAGACTTCGCTGAGCCCTTTGGTGGCCCTAGATCCCTTTCACTGTTGGAGTGTCTGGAGTTCAGAGATGGTGGAAGACAGGCCCTCATTCAAAGAGCTGGGAGGTTTGAGCCAACACTTGCATCCAAGGCTTCCACCTCCCCAGGTTTCCAAAAGCAGAGATAAGAGGGGTCCTTTACTCACCAGATTTGGAGCTTGGTTCTGTGGGTGAAGGCCAACTACTTGAAGGGTTTCCTAGAACATGGGACAGGAGAGATGTGAGGAAATGAGGGTGCTTGTCCTCTACTCAATGGAAATCTTTGAGGTTGGTTCATGGCCAACACTCTGTTATCTAATGTTGGACCCTGGGAGTCTTGGGATCCTCTTCTCCATAATTTTTGTGTGCGATGCCCACTGTCTTGAGACTTGAAGGTATAAAGAGAAAACAGGAGCATCACACTACCTGACTTAGAAATATGTTACAGAGCTGTAGTAAGCAAAACAGCATGACATTGGCATAAAGAAAGGCACATAAAAAATGAAACAGAATGGAGAACACAGATATAATCCATGCATTTACATCCAATGGCTTTTTGTGTGTGTGTGTGTGATAGAATCTTGCTCTGTCATGCAGGCTGGAGTGCAGAGGTGCAATCTCAGCTCAATGCAACCTCCACTTCCTGGATTCAAGCAATTCTCTTGCCTCAAACACCCGAGTAGTGGTATTACAGGCACTGGTCACCATGCTCAGCTAATTTTTGTATTTTTAGTAGAGACGAGGTTTCACTCTGTTGGCCAGCCTGGTCTTGAACTCCTGGCTTCAGGTGATCCACCCGCCTCGGCCTCCCAAAGTGCTGGAATTGCAGGTGTGAGCCACCATACCCAGCCCATTTAATGGACTTTGACAAAGGTGCCGAGAACTTACAATCAGGAAAGGACAGTCTTTTCAATAAATGGTGTGGGGAAAACTGGATATCTACATGCAGAGGAATAAAACTGCATCTATACCTGTCACCATACACAAAAATCAAATGAAAATGGATTAAAAACATGAGTCTAAGGCCTGAACCTATGAAACATGTAGAAGAAAATAATGGGGAAGACATTTGTCTGACGAAAGACATTTTGTTTAAAACCTTCAAAACACAAGTAATCAAAGCAAAAAATAGACCATTAGGATTACATCAAACCAAGCAACTTCTGCACCACAAAAGATAAACCAACAAAGTGAAGAGACAACCCACAAAATAGGAGCAAATATTTGCAAACTATTCATCTGAGACGGGATTAATAACTGGAAATATAAGAAGCTCAAACAACTCAATAAAACAATTTAATTAAAAAACGAGCAAAAGACATGAGGAGACATTTCTCCACAAACAAAACATAGAAATGGCGATCACGTATATGAAAAAGTACTCGGCATCACTCATCATCAGAGAAATGTAAATTACAATCGCGATGAGTTTTCATCTCATCCCATTAAAATGCCTTTTAGGCCGGTGGCTCACGCCTGTAATTCCGGCACTTCAGGAGGCGGAGGTGGGCGGATCACCTGAGGTCGGGAGACCAGCCTGACCATCATGGAGAAACTCCCTCTCTACTAAACATACAAAAATTAGCTAGGCGTGGTGGCACATGCCTGTAATCCCAGCTACTTTGGAGGCTGAGGCAGGAGAATCAGTTGAACGCGGGAGGCGGAGGTTGCAGTGAGCTGAGATCACACCCTTGCACTCCAGCCTGGGAGACTATGAGTGAAACTCCATCTCAACATAAATAAATAAATAAAATAAAGTAAAGTAAAATGGCTTTTACTGCAAGACAGGCAAAACAAATGCTGGCAAGATGGTAGAGAAAGGAGAACCCTGGTACCCTGTTGGTAGGAATGTAAATTAGTACAACTATTATGGAGAAAAGTATGGAAAATCTTTAAAAAACTAAAAGGAGGCTGGGCATAGTGGCTTATGCCTGTAACTTCAGCACTTTGGGAAACCGAGGCAGGCACCTCACTTGAGGTCAGGAGTTTGAGAGCAGCCTGCCCAAAATTGGGATATCCCGTCTGTGCTAAAAAAATACAAAAATTAGCCAGGCATGGTGGCGTGCACCTGTAATCACAGCTACTAGGGAGGCTGAGTCAGGACAATCATTTGAACCTAGGAGGCACAGGTTGCAATGAGCCAAGATCTCACCACTTAGACTCCAGCTTGGACTAAGGAGGGAAACTCTTTCTCAAAAAAGAAAAAAAAAAAAAGAGAACTTTCATAGTGTCCAGCAATTTCACTACTGGGTTTATATCCAAAGGAAAGGACATCAGTGTATCGAAGTGATATCTGCACTCATATGACTGTTCCAGCACTGTTCACAGTAGCCAAGATGTGGAGTCAACCTACCTGCCCATCAGTGGGTGAATGGATAGAGAACTGTGGTACACACACACAGTGGAGACTACTCATCCATAGAAACAATAACATCCTGTCATTTGCAGCCACATGGATGGAACTGGAGGTCATTACAAAGATTCCCATTTCTCACCCACATGCAGGAGATAAAAGGTGGATCTCATGAAGGTGGAGAATACAATGGTGGACACCAGAGGCCAGGAAGGGAAGGGTGGAGGGTAACAAAAAAAAGAATATAGATGTATTTATTTATTTAGAAACAGAGTCTCTCTCTGTCTCCCAGGCTGCAGTGCAGTGGCATGATCTCGGCTCAGTGCAACCTCTGCCTCCTGGCTTTAAGTGCTTCTCCTGCCTCAGCCTCCCAAGTAGCTAGGACTACAGGTGCATGCCAGCATGCTCGGCTAATTTTTCTTGTCTGTTTAGTAAAGATGAATTTCCCACATGTTGGCCAGGGTGATCTCGAGTTCCTGATCTTAAATGATCCACCTTCCTTGGCCTCTCAAAGCGCGGAGATTACAACCGTGAACCACCACACCCAGCATATAAAGGTATTTATGACCACTAGATTTTACTTTTAAAAATGGTAAAGGTGGTAAATTATATAGTTACATTTAACCTCAATAAATATTTTTGAAAATGAAAAGAAAAGGGTGTAGGGGTTGCTGGTGATGATATCTCTCTGTGTGGGTGAGAGGCCATGATGGGCTTCTGGGAAATGGATAAGATTGAGGGGCTGAGGGAACCTCTGATCTCCCCAAACTAAGCCCAGTCTCCCCTTCTCTGGGTCTGTCCTGACCGCTTTCTCCATCTGCCTGGGTGCCTGGAGCCCTGATCGGAGGCCTCCATGCAGGCCATGAAGGAGGGTTTGGAGGTGCCCTGTCTGCCATCCTGCGCCCTGACTCCGCCCTCACACCTGCTGTGTCTTCTCTCTGCATCTGTCCATGCTTTTCTCCATCATCAGCAGGAAGCTCCTTAGCTAAGGATTTAGGATCATAGGACATGAGAGAGATATGGGCTTTTCTCACCTGTGACAGAAACAAGCAGTGGGTCACTCGGGTCTGACCACTCGTAGGGAGAGTGACGGAAAGAGCCGAAGCATCTGTAGGTCCCTCCGTGGGTGGCAGGGCCCAGAGGGAAATCTGCCTGGAATGTTCTGTTGACCTTGCGCACTGCAGGGAGCCTACGTTCATGGGCTCCCCCCTCCCTGGATAGATGGTACATGTCATAGGAGCTCCGGGAGCTACAGGACAAGGTCACGCTCTCTCCTGCCTGAACCTTGGGGCCCGGCTGGGCTGAGAGAGAAGGTTTCTCATATGGACCTGGAAGGAGAAGAGGCAGTTTCCTCAGGGAGGTTCTTCCTTGTCATAGCTCCCCTCATACCTGAGCTGAGAACTCACTCCCCTGCTCTATGACCTAATGCTCTCTCTCTCTCTCTCACCCTCCACCCCATCTCTCTTCATATCTGTTTCCTCCTTCTACCTTTTCTGTCTCTCTAGGTCTATGACCTCACTTCCCCACCCTGAGGTATGTTTTCCCTTTTTGGATTGTTTTATTCTCTCTGACCCTCCTTGGATTGGTTGACTTGATCTTCCTTTTTCTTTAATTTTGAGTCTCTCACTTTCTGCCTTGTTCATAACTTTCTGCACATTTCTATCTATTTATCTATTTTGTGTCTATCTACAAATTATCTATCATCTATATTTATGTATCACTTATCTATCTCTCTATCAATTGTCTGTCTGTCTATCTATCCATCAATCATCTATTATCTATATATGTATCATCTATCTCTCTCTCTATTACCTCTCTGTCTGCCTCTCTGTCTCTATTTATGTATCATCTATGTATATATCTATGTGTCTATCATCATCATCGTCATCTCTATGTATCATCTATCAGTCATCATCTATGTATCTATAACCAATCCATTATCTATCATCTACCTATTTATCATCTATCTACGTCTATCTATCCATCTATCATCTCTCTCTCTCCGTCTCCTTGTCTTTCTCTGCCTCTCAGTCTCTCTAGTTCTATTTGGAATCTCTGCAATCCATCCCCACATATTTATCTTTCTCTGTCTTTGTGTCCCTCCCTCAGGGTTCTGATTTTGGGGCTTTTCTCTCCTCCTTTCCATCATTCTCTCCACTCTGCCCTCTTTTCTTTCTTTTTATGTGTCTGTGAATCTCTTAATCTCCTTCTTCTGGCTCATTTTGTGTGTGTTTATGTCTTTGCTTTTTGGTGTCCCTGATTTTTCTCTGTGTCTCTCAGCGATCCTATCATATGTGGGATTATTTGGAATATGAGCCTCAGAATCCAGTCTGGGGACCCCAAGTTCACACAGCATACAGGGGTTGGTGTTCAGGGGCCATGATATCCTGGGATGATTACTCTCCATTGCATGGAAGGCAGAGGTGTCAGAATAAACACGGCATCTGTAGGTGGCACAAGGCCTGAGGCCACAGGGCCCAACTCAGGTCAGAAATATGGGTGTCCTTGGGTTCTTCTGGTAGGAACACTTTGTGGAGGTAAAACAGAAATGAAACTTCTAACCTGTGCCAGGTCTCTGAGCAAAGTCAGCATGGAAGGACACCTCTCTCTGGGACATGTCTGTCTGTCTGAGTGTCTCCTTTACCTCTTTCTCTCTTTTCTACCTCCCTGTATGGCCCCTGTGTCTGTCCTCTGTTATGACACCTGTTCTGTACTTATGTCTCCTGTTTCTCTGTCTCTGTTGGTACAGACCTCACCAAGTCACTCTCTTTCCATAAGAATCCCACACTTATCTTCCTCATGACCACCTGGGGGTTCCAAGTCCTGGATCATTCACTCTGTGTCCCAGTGACAATGAGAACAATGTCTAGACACTCTCACCTGTGACCACGATGTCCAGGGGATCACTGGGAGCTGACAACTGATAGGGGGTGTGAGTAACAGAACCGTAGCATCTGTAGGTCCCTGCAAGGGCAAGCATCATGGGACCGATGGAGAAATTGGCCTTGGAGACCCCATCATGGATCTGTCCAACGAGGCGTGAGGGGTCCTTAGAGATCCCCTCTTTGTGCAGAAAGAAGTGCTCAAACATGATATCTGACCAACATTGCAGGATGACTCTCTCTCCTGATTTCACCAGGGGACCTGGGTGGGCCAGGAGGGAAGGTTTTCTGTGGTTTCCTAGAAAGAGAAGTTGTGAGTTTAGAAGGCATCTCTCTTTATCATCCCATCCATGGCACCTGGAATGAGTGAGGGTTCCCCTCCCCGTGTCTGTCTCTCTCCTCCCTCTCTGCATCTCCGTGTCTTTTCTGTGCCCATATCCCCTGGTGCAGGTGCCTCCATCTGTCTTCCTCCCTCTTCTCTGTCCCTCTGTCTCCAGTAGCCCCTGACTCCCTTGCCACTGTGAAGACAGCCTCATCTCTTGGGCTGTTGTATCTGTTTCCCACTAATCTCTTTCCTGCTGTCTATGTGGGGGTGGAAGAGGACAGGCTGCATGTCCAGGCTCTTAGCAGCCTGAATCAATCTCTTTTGAACAAATCCCCAGTTCAAGTGATTCTCTTGCCTCAGCCTCCCCAGTCGTTGGATTACTCGCGCCCACCACCACATCTGGCTATCCTTGTTTGGTTTCCTAACTTGTCCTTGACCTGGGTTCCTGTGTTGGTTTCCTGTTGCTGCTGCAGAAAATTACCACAAACATGGCAGCGGGAGAGAACACACTGACCCCTTCCACTTCTGGAGACAGAAATTGGATCCAGTTCTCCCTGTGCTGAAATCAAGGTGTCTACAGGGCTGCGTTCCCTCTGGAGAATCAGCGAATCAGTTCTCTTGACTTCTCCAGCCCTTAGAGGCCACCTGCATTCTGTGACTAGTGGTCTTCCTCCACCTTCAAAGCCCGCAGTGGCTGATAGCGTCTCCCTCCCACTACACTGCTCTAATCCCCACTCCCCTCTTCCTCCACCTCTCATGTGGACCCTTGTGATTACACTGAGCCCAGTGGGACAGTCCAGGCTGTCTCCCCATCTCAAGGTCAACTCATCAACAACCTGAGCTCCACCTTCCCCTTCAGTCCCCTGCCCTGTAACATAAATAGTCACAGGCTCCAGGGATTACAATGTAGCCATCATTGGGGACAGTGATTCTTCCCACCACAGCACCCATTTCCCCTGTATTCAATCTCCCTTGACCCCAAATACAGTCAGGGCCTGGGTGATGGGACCCTGACGGACACCCCCACCAGAAGCTCTGGGATTCAGGAGGTGGGACAGTGAGAAGCCCAGACGGAAAGCCTCTGACCTGTGACCATGATCACCACGGGGTTGCTGGGTGCCGACCACCCAGTG
This sequence comes from Homo sapiens, assembly GCF_000001405.40. Taxonomy (NCBI): domain Eukaryota; kingdom Metazoa; phylum Chordata; class Mammalia; order Primates; family Hominidae; genus Homo; species Homo sapiens. Next base: position 39,649 of record NT_187640.1, read on the forward strand.
GGGGAGTGTGGGTGTGAACCCCGACATGTGTAGTTCCCTGCATGTGCTGTGGTCACAGGGCTCATGTTGAAGCTCTCCTGGAATAATCTGCCATGGAAGATGGGAACGTGGATTCTGTCTTCTTTGTATAGCATGAAATTGTTAAACCTATGACGATAGTGACACCGAAGAGTCACGTGTCCTCCTCGAGGCACCACAGCGCTGGGCCAGGCAGACAGGAAGGGCTTGTCCTGACCACCTGGGGGAGAAGGAGGCACTGCCTTAGAGAGGAGGATGTGGAGCCGCCCCTCACTCCCAGTGCCCAGAAGATTCTCCCCATTTCCACTTTCTAAGGCTCCTACCACACCTGGGTGCCCAGGGCTACAGGAAGGACCCATCCTGCATAGACATGGCGTCTCCCTACAACAAGTGTCAGCTGAGAACTTTGAGCAAGTGCTGGAGAAGCAACTCTTACTAGATTTTAATACTGCAAAATTACTCATATAAAACAACACAAAGTAGACACGGCATGGAGGGCAAGTCCTATGTGAATGGAATATCAGCCAATTGATGAACTGAGCCCCCATCAGAGGATTTGGAATGTCAGGGCCATGGCTGTGGTTTCCTCACCTTTTCTGGTAGAAAGACCACAGCCACACTGCAGCCCCTACCATCACGGAAACGCTGGAGGGTGTGAGTTACACCTTTGTCCTCAGAGGACCTGCTGTTCCTAGCACTGCTTCCCTCTCTTTCTCTGCTGCTGACACCACTTCCTCCCTGCACACCCATCTTGGAGCACCCTAGTCTCACCCCAGTCTTCACAGAGCTTGACTCAGGAAAGGGAAAGAAAGGCCGGGGAGGGCAAGGTCAGAAATGTGGGCCGAGCATCCGAGGGTCCCCTCTTCCTAGTTTATGAGAGACTCCCCGACAGGACTTCCCTCCCATTTCAGGAAAATCCTCTTATGTGGGGAGATGACACCCTAAGGTTTGGGGAAGGACTCACCCACGTGTGGACCGGCCCTCTGGACCAAGAAGAACCCTAGAAAGAAAGATCCTGATGGACCATCCATCTGCAGGCAAACCAGGGCACCCTGCTGCCCCCACTGGGCTGTGCGTCTTGGCAGCCAGGCCCTTGCTGGGCTGAAGGTAAACTCACCCTCGCTGCCTACCTGCCCCCAGGAACAAGGATCTCGGCTGTGCAGAGACTCAGCCTCCAGGCCCAGATCTCTACCTCCAGGCCTAGATCTACACAACAGGCCCAGATCTCCACTCCAGGTCCGTATCTCCACTCCAGACCCATATCTCCTCTCCAGGCTGATAAGTCCACTCCAGGCCCATATCTCCACTCCAGGCTCCTATCTCAACTCCAGGCTCATATATCCACTCCAGGCTCATATCTCCACTCCAGGCCCATATTTCCACTCCAGGCTTCTATCTCCTCTCCAGGCCCATATCTCCTTTCCAGGCTTGTATGTCTGCTCCAGGCCCGTATCTCCACCCCAGGCCCATATCTCCACTCCAGGATCATATCTCCACTCCAGGCCCAGATCTCCACTTCATGCCCTTAACTCCACCTCCGGGCCCATAACTCCACTTCTAGGCCCATATCTCCACTCCAGGCCCATATCTCCACTTCAGGCCCATATCTCTACTGCAGGCCCATAACTCCACCTCCAGGCCCATATCTCCACTCCAGGCCCATCGCTCCACTTCTAGGCCCATCACTCCACCTCTAGGCCCACATCTCCCCTCCAGGCCCATCCATATCTCCCCTCCAGGTCCATATCTCCACCCCAGGCACATATCTCCACCCCAGGCCCATATCTCCACTCCAGGCCCAGATCTCCACTCCAGGCACATATCTCCACCCCAGGCCCCTATCTCCACTCCAGGCCCAGATCTCCACCCCAGGCCCAGATCTCCACTTCAGGCCCATAACTCCACCTCCAGGCCCATAACTCCACCTCTAGGCCCATATCTTTACCTCCAGGTCCAGATCTCCATCCCCGCACTCCCTCCCTCGATTCCCTTCCAGGACTCACCAACACACGCCATGCTGACGACCATGAGCAACATGGTGCTGCCGGTGCAGACAGGCGGCCGCGCCCCAGCTCAGCTCAGCAGCGCACAGGATGTTATTTGGCGCCCTGCCCATGCAGTTTACATGTTGACCACATCATGGGAGGGTGACGTACGCAGGCTCTTTCTACCTTGCATGAGGCCCAGTGGGTGCTCGCTCAAGAGCGGAACATGGCTTCCTGGAAATTGCTCTCACTAGAATTGACACCTCGCGTCCTTCACTATGACCAACTCAAAACACGTCTTAGATCCAACCTCCCGAACACGAGATGCCTAAAATCTGTGCTAACATGAAAGACTTTTCATGTATTTTTATTGCTTTTATCTGAGATTCAAACTCTTCTTCCTGTGTAATATGCAAAATATCTAATAGGTATTATTAAGGTTTTCAGAGCAATTGTGACTAATAAACCATTAGAATTTTTCATGATTGTATTTCTAGTATTACAGCAGAACCAGTTCAAATGATTTAAACTCCCAGGGAAGGATTATGCAATTATTTACAATCTTAGAATTGTACTTTATCAGCAAAAATCACAACATGTAAATTCTGGATTTTTGTAGATTTATCTAGAATTTGTCTCATGTCCCAAGATTCCAGAGTTCCAACTCATGGTTTGCTCTCTCTCTGTCTCTCTGCCTCCCTCATTTTAAATTTTACAGAAATATCCAGTAACATAATGCTATAGAAAATCAATTTCCCCAGCACTTTGGAAGCCGAAGTGAGTGATCAACCGAGGTCAGGAGTTTGAGACCAGCCTGGCCAATATAGTGAAACCATGTCTCTGCTAAAAATACAAAAATTAGCCATGCCTGGTAGCAGGCACTTGTAATGCCAGCTATTCAAGAGGCTGAGGCACGGAATCCCTTGAACCTGGGAGGCGGAAGTTGCAGTGAGCCGAGATCGTGCCACTGCACTCCAGCCTGGGCAACAGAGCGAGACTCTGCCTCAAGAAAAATAAAAAAAGCATAGCAAATAGCCTATAATAAATAACTAGAGGACTCCAGCTACCAAATTTTAGGGGTTGTATAAGGCTGCATAAAATGCAGCATTCTCAAGAGAGTGGACAGAGAGAGAGCCACTGAGCAGAAAACAGTGTCTAAAATACATCCGTGTACACACAGTCCCTTTATAGTTGACAAAGGCTGCCATGTGGTTTAAGGTGGAATAGAATGTCTTCTCAATAAATAACATGGGCCCAAGGGTTACACATAGAGAAAAATATATCTAAACGTATTCTCACACTATAAAACACTTGTTTATTTTATCTTGTTATTGTAATTTTTTTATGTTTTATATTTAAAATTGAGAAATAAAAATTATATACAGTCATCCCTCACTATTCGTGGGTGATTGGTTTCAGGATCTCCACTCAGATAGCACAATCTGCAGATGCTCAAGCCTCTTACATGAAATGGCACAGCATTTGCAAATAACCCATGCACATCCTCCTGTGTACATGAAATCATCCCTTGATTATTTATAATTCCTGATACAGCCTACACACAGCTTCATTTGTGTCCATTCAACATAGTTTTGCTTTTTGAAACTTTGTGGATTTTTTCTCTGAATATTTTTGATTTATATTTGGTTCAATAAACACCTGTAAATCCCACAGATACAGAGGACCGACTGTATATTTATAGTATGAAAGATGATGTGTTGATATGTGTTCCCGTGGAGATGAGACTGACAAGGCCTATGACTCTACAAATGTTTCATCATGGAATGACTCTGCCAGCTTTCCAGGTCTGCAGAGAGTAAGAATATCACTTGTTCATGTGATTCACGATCCTTGGAACCTCTTATGTGCTGCATCTTTGGATGGAAATTGGAGTCTCAGAGACAAATGAGGCTCCACCCTGCTTCCAGAAGCTCAGAGTCCAGGGGTGAGAACCCAGTGGAGAACAGTTGGAGTTATTTGGACATGGTAATGATAACACTGGAAACTTTCAGCCAAAAAAAGAGTCACCTAAAGAATGAAGGCAGACATGTTTATTTGAAGAGGAGAGAACTACACTGAAATCAAAAAAATTTTATAAGGTTTGCTGATGCCAGAAGGCTGAAAAATAGTCTGAGGAAAGGTGGAACAGCACGAGGGAAGGTGGAACAGCACGTGTCTAAGTGCCGTGTTAAGAGAGAGCCTCTTGTATGTTTGGAATTGTGAGTTCCTCAGTGTGATTGCAGCCTCAAGTAGACTAGGAAGTAAGCCAGTTAGGTTGGAGAGGTGGGCAGGGGTCAAGTGAAATAGAGAATTGTGGGCTAAGCAAAGGAGTGTGTTTTCTCTGCAGCAGGCAGTGGGGACCTTAGACATTGGTAAGCAAGAGACAGGCACCAGATTTGTGGTGTGAGGAAGAGTGATGCTCTAAGATGGAGACTCACGCCTTCAGATTCCAGCTGCTGGTACATTAGAGCTGGCAAGCTGGGTTTGAGACAGGGCTGTTGTCTCCCTAGAAGATCCCATCAAGGCCTGACTGTGGTGCTCATGGGCAGGAGACAACGCTCTGGGCTCAGCATTTGGAAGTTCTATACACACGCTGGTATCTGTTGAGGGTCTCTTGCTCCTCTGAGAAGGGCCAGTGATTTTTCTCTGTGTGAAAATGCAGTGATCCAACTGTGCGTATGTCACCTCCTGAGGGTCTTGTTCATCAGAGTCCTGGAGAGAGGGAAATCCTGAGTGAGGGAGGGTGTTCACATTTTTCAGGACTATTAGGGAATAAGACTGTATCCATGAGGCTGGGCTAGGAGGACCTACCTCCCTGTTCACTGTTCTGTGTCCCGCAGGCTCTTGGTTCATTACAGCAGCATCTGTAGGAGACGGAAGCAATCAAAACAGCTGGGAGGGCACTTCTGGGTCCTCATTTCATGAACAGATACCAACACACAGGGGGAGGCCATAGGTGCCTGAGGTCCCTCAGCTGCCAACAGCCAGACTCAGACATTCCATCTCTCTGAGTGCAAGACCCCATTCCATGAATAGCTGTCAGTTCCCATCCCATTGATTCTATCTCCCACTTTCTGCCTGTCATGGAATCTTCTCCTGGATGTGAGTGGCTGCAGGGGACGTGAGGATACAGTTCACAATCAGGCAATGGTCTGTGAGCTGAAGGCAGGGGCAGGGTGTCTGGTGCTCTCTCTAGAAAGCTCTGCCTCTGGCTCCTGCCTTGGGCCAGAGACTTTCCTGCCAGTGAGGAACACACACCTGCGTGCTCCCATCCTGCTTCCGCACAGGGCCCTGAGTTCTCTGGCCTCTGCTTCGTGAGGCTTACTTTTTTTTTTGGAGCACCAGCGATGAAGGAGAAAGAAGGGAAGGATGGTGAAGAGGATGATGGCCACTGAGTACCTAATCACAGCATGCAGGTGTCTGGCGATACCTGGAGGAAGATGAGAATCCAATAAGAAGCTAACCATAGCAGTTCCTCTTTGTGGATTGTCTCTCATTTCTTGGTTGCCAGGCAACCACATAAAACACCTCTTTAGGACAAGCACCCACGAGGCGGGAGACCCAGCTTTCTCCTGCTTTCTCCGTTATAGTTTTCATAATAACAATAGAATGTGCTGATGATACAACTGCTATTGTTTCAATGTTTGACCCCTCCAAACCCCACTTTGAAATTTAATCCCCAGTGTGGGAGGTTGTGCCTATTGGGAGGGGTGTTTTGGTCATGGGGGTGGATCCATCATGAATAGATTAATGCTGTCCCCAGAGGACGGGTTTAGCAAGTTCTCCCTCTATTAGTACCCTGGAGAGTTGATTCTTAAAAAGAGCTTGGAAGCTCCATCACACCCCCTTTCTCCCTCTCTTGCCATGTGATCTCTGTGGTCTCTGCACACGCAGGACCCCCTTCTCTTCTGTCAGTGTGGGAGCAGCCTGAGGCCGCAGCCAGAAATAGATGGTAGTGTCCTGCTTCTACTACAGCGTGCCGATCAGTGAGCCAAACACATCTCTTTTCTTTAGAAGATACCCAGGCTCAAGTGTTCTTTTATAGCAACAAAAATAGGCTAAGACAGCAACATCCTGAGATCAGGAGGAACGTCTCAGAACAGCCTGGGCTGTCTTCCTGTTCTTCCTGGAGGAGAACATCATGCAGTGCTTTAGCTGAGTGTTCCCTGTGGCTCCAGGGTACAAAACCCAGGCTGGGCTGCTTTCTGGCTTCCCCCAGCTACAGTGCACATGAAGTGACTCCATGTGTCCTGAGCAGTTTTTCTGAGCCTTGAGGGACTGGCTCACCCTGAAAGGAAGGTTTCTGTTGTCACTCGCTGCTTATCTATAAGTAATGAACCTGCCTATGTAATGTATTCCCTGTGTGTTCTGTCTCCCTGGAGTGATGGTGAGTGATAGAAATTGGCACAGGCCCAGGTGCAGTATGGGAGGTGTTTAGAGTCTTCTCTGGGAAGACTGGACTGGGATTGATACACAGTGAATGTGCTTTACAGTTTCTACATCCACAACCCTCTTGACTCAAACAAATTACATTCTCCAAGAAAAGGAAAAAACAGTGACATTGAAATCAACATAAGTGAGGTTGAGCTGTCTTATATCAAACAGCCAGGAAATAATGATGAAGCTCGTGGGCAACATGCTACTTTTGTCATCTTGGGAGTCAGATATTAGGCTGCTGTTCCACCCGAGAGTCTGGGGGAAAGACCACCCCCTCCATCATCTGTTGCTTCAATACAGCCTGTCTTTCTGTGAATTACTCCAAAAGGTGACCAGGAGATAGTGCTGGCACTGGTCTCTGAGTCTACGATCTGAACTCCAAAGAATATTAGTTTTTACCTCCCCATGATCTATCTGTATCATTAATGTGATTGGAAGTAGGGGTGAGGTGGGGGATTTGGGTGAAGGGGCAAGTTTTGTGCCATGAACAGATCACGTTCTCTATTCCAGGACCTGTGCTGGTGGGTTTCACATTTTCCATATGATCTCATGCTCACAGAAAGCCAAATAAGGAAGATGTTTTCGCCTGATTTTCTTACGGATAGGATAAAGGATCAAAGAAGTCATTATAGAGAAATAGAAAAATGATGATTGGAATTGGTGTGCCTTTGTCATTCGTGTATGTTATATTATATTTATTTATTCTTTATTTTTATTTTTTGCCATGGAGTCTCACTCTGTCACCTAGGGTGCAGTGCAATGACGCGATCTTGGCTCACTGTAACCTCTCCCTCCCTGGTTGAAGCCATTCTCCTTCTTCAACTTCCCGAATAGCTGGTATTACAGGCATGCGCCACCACCCCCAGCTAGTTTTTGTATATTTAGTAGAGATGGGGTTTCACCATGTTGTCCAGGCTGATCTCGAACTCCTGATCTCACTTGATCCAGCCTCCTCAGCCTCCCAAAATGTTGGGTTACAGGTGTGAGCCACCGTTCAGAACCTTGTGTGTTATATTATAATAGGTCTCTTCCTTTGCACCACCCCTCATGTATCTCTCACTCCTCTGCCAAGTATTGATTTACATGTAGGAAAAATAAATCTCAGAAAGAAATCAATGAAGTGAAGATTAAACAATTAGGAAAAATCAAACCAGGCAAGCCCTCCCTGCAAATTACTCTACCTCACAAACACATCTTTTGTCCATCTTTCATTCATTTAGTGTCTAAATCAGCACCACATTTCACCAGGGGGGCGGGAATTGCCTTTTCCACAGTCTCCTAGATTCCAGTTATGCACCTGGGCCTCCCTTATTTTCATGTCAGTCACTATTCATCATGTAGGGATTCCCAGTTAGCCCCGAGGTAAGTCCAATGGCTGTGAGTGTCAAACACACACTCCTTGTTGCTCCTTAGTTTCCTGTGTACCCAGAGTGCTCTCTGTCTCTCTACAGTCGTCTTGTCATTCTCCCCATGTCATTCCCAGCATTTCAGGCAGAGCCTCTTCCTTCCACATAACATTGTTTTCACCTTTGTGCCTTCACGGCTGACAGCTGTGTGGAAAATCCTTCCGCCAATCTTCCAGGGGTTGATCTATTTTTTTCATTAAGGTCACAAGTATTATTTGATCAGTGAGAACTTCTCTGTCACCCGAAATTATACACTCAGCATTATCTATTATTTCTTTTAAAATACGGCTCGGCGCCTTGGCTCACGCCTCTAATCTCAGCACTTTGGGAGGCTGAGACGGGCGGATCCCTTAAGGTTGGGAGTTTGAGATAGCCTGGGCAACATGGTAAAACCTTGTCTGTACTAAAAAAAAAATACCAAAAAAAAATTAGCCAGGCGTGGTGGGACATGGGTGTAATCCCAGCCTCTCGGGAAGCTGAGTGTAGAGAATCGCTTTAACCTGGGAGGTGGAGGTTGCGGTGAGCCGAGATCCCGCCACTGCACTCCAGCCTGGGGCACAGAGGGAGACACCGTCTCATAAAAACAACCAATCAATCAATCATTCTCATGCACAGATGCTTCCCAATGGATCATTCATTTATTGGTCCACTGGTGCATTCATTTTCTGCCCTCCCATTTAATCCTTTGCAATATCAGTGTCCAAGAGCAGAGGCCAAATGCACCTTGTTTACCATTTGTGGAAAGGATAAGAATGCCGCCCCACCCCAAAATGTTCCTGTCCTAGTCGCCATATCTTGTGAATATGTTATTTTACATGGAAAAAAGGAATGCAGATTGCAGATGGAATTACGGTTGCTAATCAGCTAACCTTAAAAGGAGGGTATCCTAGATGATTTTAGGGAAATTATGATGGATTATCTTGGTGTTTCCAATAGAATGCCAAAGTCCTTAAAAGATGAGGAAGAAGGCAGAGCAGCATTCAGAGAAAGAGGTGTGGACAAGGAAGAAGGGTCTGAGTGATGCCGTGTGAGAGGCGTGACCAGCCTTTGTGGACTTTGAGGGAGGAAGACGGGGACCAGGAGCCAAGGAATGTGGGAGCCTCTAGGAGCTGGGAAAAGTGAGGAAGCAGATTCTTGCCTGGAACATTCAGAGGGAAGGCAGCCTTGCTGTCACCTTGATTTTAGCCCAGTGAGATGATGCATTTCATACTTCTGAGCTACAGCACCATGAGATATTTTTTAAAAATGTGGTTTCCATCCACGAAGCTTGTGGAAATTTGTTATGGCAACATAGGAAAAGGTTCCACACTGCACAGTCTGAGCATGGGGCAGTGGCTGAACGAGTAAGTGGAAGTGTCATGTGCACGGATGAACTACGTTCTCTCTTACCGCAAAGCTCTTGTTCCACTAAGTCAACCAGGGTTGGATCATGACAGACAGGAGCTCATTCCTTGGCAAGTAGAACTTCTCTACAAATACACCACCCTCAAAAATGTTCCCCTTCCTTCCCCTTCTCAAGCCCCCAGGCATTTGTCCTCCCAGTTAGGAATGCAGGCAGAACAAACACAGCATTTTTCCTGAGAAGAATGTCTGATTTGCACTCATCCTTCTACCCTGAGGTCTCAGCAGCAGAAAATTAGAGATTAAGAGATTTCACTGAGCCCTGTGCTGGGCCCAGATCCCTTTCCCTGTTGGAGTGTCTGGGGTTCAGAGACAATGGAAGACAGGCCCACAATCACAGAGCTGGCAGGTGCTGAGCCAACGCTTGAATCCAAGGCTTCTACCTCCCCAGGTTTCCAAAAGCAGAGATAAGAGGGGTCCTTCACTTACCAGTTTTGAAGCTTGGTTCAGTGGGTGAAGGCCAACTACTAGAAGGGTTTCCTAGAACATGGGACAGGAGAGAGGTGTGGCAATGAGGATGCCTGTCTTCTACTCAATGGAAATCTTTGAGGTTGGTTCATGGCCAACATTCTATTATCTAATGTTGGGCCCTGGGAGTCCTGGCATCCCATTCTCCATAATCATTGTAGGTGACACCAACTATCTTGAGACTTCAAGGTATAAGGAGAAAACAGGAGCATCACACTACCTGACTTAAAAATATGTTACAGAGCTGTAGTAAGCAAAACAACATGACATTGGCATAAAGAAAAGCACATAAAACAATGGAGCAGAATGAAGAACACGGATGTAATCCACCCATTTACATCCAATGGACTTTGACAAAGGTTCGAAGAATCTACAATCTGGAAAGGACAGTCATTTCAATAAATGGTGCAGGGAAAACTGGATATCTACATGCAGAGGGATGAAACTGCACCTCTACCTCTCACCATACACAAAAATCAGATGAAAATGGATTAATGACTTAAGACCTGAATCCATTAAATGTCTAAAAGGAAACACTGGAGAAATGCTCCAGGACATTTGTCTGAGGGAAGACATTTTGTTTAAAACCTCAAAAACACAAGTAATCACAACAACAACAAAAAAATAGACCATTGGGATTATATCAAATCAAGCAGCTTCTGCACCGCAAAGGAAGCAACCAATGAAGTGAAGAAGAGACAACCCACAGAATGGGAGCAAATATTTGCAAACTATGCATCTGAGATGGGATTAATAACTAGAATATAAAAGAAGCTCAAACACCTCAATAAAACTAATAATTTAATTATAAAATTAGTAAAAGACCTGAACAGACATTTCTCAATGAACAAAACATACAAATGAACATATATACATTGCATATATGAAAAAGTGCTCAGTATCACTAATCATCAGAGAAATGCAAATGAAGTCACAATGAGCTATCATCTCACCCCATTACAATGGGTTTTATCTCAGAGACAGACAAAACAAATGTTGGCAAGGTGGTGGAGAAAGGAGAACCCTGATACACTGTTGATAGGAATGTAAATTAATACAGCCATTACAGAGGAGAAGAATATGGAAGTTCCTTAAAAACTAAAAAGAGATTAGGCACTGTGGCTCACGCTTGTAATCCCAGCACCTTGGGAGGCTGAAGTGGGCAGATCACTGGAGGTCAAGAGTTCGAGACCAGCCTGGCTAACATGGTGAAACCCCGTCTCTACTAAAAATACAAAAATCAGCCAGGCGTGGTGGCGGGCACCAGTAATCCCAACTACTCGGGAGGCTGAGGCTGGAGAATCACTTGAATCCTGGAGGTAGAGGTTGCAGTGAGCCCAGGTGGTGCCATTGCACTCCAGCTTGGGCAACAAGAGTGAAACGCTATGTCAAAAAAACAAAAAGCATAAAACAAAACCTAAAAAGAGAACATCCAGAGGATCTAGCAATTCCACTAGTGGGTGTAAATGCAAAGAAAAGGACTTCAGTGTATTGAAGTGACATCTGCACTCCCATGACTGTTCCAGCACTGTTCACAGTAGCCAAGATGTGGAGTCAACCTACCTGCCCATCAGTGGATGAATGGATAGAGAGAATGTAGTACATACACACAATGGAGACAACTCATCCATACAAAGAGTAACGTCCTGTCATTTGCAGCCACATGGATGGACTGGAGGTCATTACAAGGATTGCCATTTCTTACTCACATGCAGGATGTAAAAGGTGGACCTCATGAAGGTAGAGAGTAGAATGGTGGATACCAGAGGTTAGGAAGGAAGGGGTGGAGGGTAACAAAAGAAGAATATAAAAGTATTTATTTATTTATTTAGAGACAGAGTCTCTCTGTGTCACCAGACTGCAGTGCAGTGGCATGATCTCAGCTCACTGCAACCTCCTCCTCCTGGGTTTAAGCCACTCTCCCGCCTCAGCCTCCCAAGTTGCTGGGATTATAGGTGCCTGGCACCATGCCTGGCTAATTTTATTTTTTTTGTCTTTTTAGTAAAGATTGGTTCCCCCATGTTGGCCAGGCTGGTCTCCAGCCCCTGATTTTAAATGATCCACCTGCCTTGGCGTCTCAAAATGCTGAGATTACAGGCGTGAGCCACCGCACACAGCATATAAAGGTATTTATGATCCCTAGATTTTACACTTAAAAATGGTAAAGTTGATAAATTATATAGGTATATTTAACCTCAATCAGCATTTTTTCAAAGGAAAAGAAAAAGTGTAGGGGTTGCTGGTGATGACATCTCTGTGTAGGTGAGAGGCCAGGGTGGGCTTCTGGGAAATGGGTAAGGTTGAGGGGCTGAGGGAACCTCTGATCTCCCCAAACTGAGCCCAGTCTCCCTCCTCTGGGTCTGTCCTGACCACTTTCTCCATCTGCCTGGGTACCCGGAGCCCTTACTGCAAGCTTCCATGCAGGCCATGCAGGAGGGTTTGGAGGTGCCCTGTCTGCCATCCTGTGCCCTGATCCCACCCTCACACCATGCTGCATCTTCTCTCCACATCTGTCCATGCTTCTCTCCATCATCAGCAGGAAGCTCCTCAGCTAAGGCTCTAGGACCATAGGACATGGGACAGACATTGGCTTTCCTCACCTGTGACAGAAACAGGCAGTGGGTCACTCGGGTCTGACCACTCGTAGGGAGATCCATGGAAAGAGCCGAAGCATCTGTAGGTCTCTCCGTGGGTGGCAGGACCCAGAGGGAAGTCGGCCTGGAATGTTCCATTGATGCTGGGCACTGCAGGGAGCCTAAGTTCATGGGCTTCCCCCTCCCTGGATAGATGGTAGATGTCAAAGGAGCTCTGGGAGCTGCAGGACAAGGTCACGTTCTCTCCTGCGCGAACCGTGGGGCCCAGCCGGGCTGTAAGCGAAGGTTTCTCATATAGACCTGGAAGGAGAAGAGGCAGTTTCCTCAGGGAGGTTCTTCCTTGTCACAGCTCCCCTCCCACCTGAGCTGAGAACTCACTGCCCTGCTCTATGGCCTAGTGCTCTCTCTCTCTCTCTCACCCTCCACCCCCAACTCTTCCTGTCGATCCCTCCCTATGTGGTTCCAGCCTGGTGGTGGCATCAGCAGTGCACCCTTGCTGATCTCAGGGTAGCCAACCTTCTTGTTTGGTTTTTTAACTTGTCCTTCACCTGGGTTCCTGTGTTGGTTTCCTGTTGTTGCTGGAGAAAATTATCACAAACATGGCGGCAGGAGAGAACACACTGACCCCTTCCACTTCTGGAGACAGAAATCAGACCCTGTTCTTCCTGGGCTACAATCAAGGCATCTGCAGGGCTGCATTCCCTCTGGAGACTCGGGAGAATCAGTTCCATTGATTTCTCCAGCCCCTTCGTGGCTCGTGGTCTTCCTCCACCTTCAAAGCCCACAGTGGCTGGTGGAGTATCCCACGATGCTGCTCTAATCCCCATTCTCCTCTTCCTTCTCCACTCATATGGACCCTTGTGATTACACTGAGCCCAGTGGGAGAGTCCAGGCCATCTCCCCATCTCAAGGTCAACTCATCAACAACCTGAGCTCCATCTTCCCCTTCAGTCCCCTGCCCTATAACATAGTCACAGGCTCCAAGGATTACAATGTGGCCATCGATGGGGACAGTTATTCTTTCCAACACAGCACCCATTCCCCTGTATTCAATCCCCCTTTACCCCAAATATAGTTGGGGCCTGGATGATCGGACTCTGGTGGACACCCCCACCAGAAGCTCTGGGACTCAGGAGGTGGGACAAGGAGAAGCCCAGACAGGAGCCCTCTGACCTGTGACCATGATCACCAGGGGGTTGCTGGGTGCCGACCACTCAGTGGGGGAGTGCGGGTGAAAACCTCGACATCTGTAGGTCCCTGCGTGTGCTGGGGTCACAGGGCTAATGAGGAAACTGTTCCAGAATATTCTGTTGTAGAGCTCAGGGACAGGGACCCCATCTTTCTTGTACAGCGTGAAGATGTTAAACCCACGACGATAGTGACACCGAAGAGTCACGTGTCCTCCTTGAGGCACCACAGCGCTGGGCCAGGCAGAGCAGAAGGGCTTGTCCTGACCACCTTGGGGAGAAGGAGATGCCGCCTCAGAGAGGAGTATGTTGAGCTGCCCCTCCCTCCCTGTGCTCAGAAGATTCTCCCCATTTCTTCTTTCTAAGGCTCCTACCACACCTGGGTGCCTGGGGCTACAGGAAGGACCCATCCCGCATAGACGTGGCGTCTCCCTACAACAAAAGTGTCAGTTGAGAACTGAGCAGGTGCTGAGTAAGGGACTCTTACTAGATTTTAATACTGCAAGATTAGTTACACCAAACAACACAAAGTAGACATGGGGTGGAGGGTATGACCTTTGTGAATGGAATATTAGCTAATGCCTGAACCACAATAAACAACTGAGCTCCATCAGAGGATTTGGAATGGCAGGGTCGTGGCTGTGGTTCCCCCACCTCTTCTGGCAGAATGACAGCAGCCACACTGCAGCCCCTACCGTCATGGAAACGCTGGAGGGTGTGAGTTACCCTCTTGTCCTCAGAGGACCTGCTGTTCCTAACACTGCTACCCTTCCCTCCTCTGTCGGTGACACCACATCCCCCCACACACCCCAGCTTTGAGCACCTCAGTATCCCGCCTGGGCCACACAGAGCTCAACTCAGCCATGGGGAAGAAAGGCTGGGGAGGGCTAAGACAAAACAGAAGGCTGAGCATACCAGGATCTCCTCTTACTAGTTCATGAGAGACTCCCAAGATCTCCTCTTACTAGTTCATGAGAGACTCCCAGGATCTCCTCTTACTAGTTCATGAGAGACTCCCCCCAGGCCTTCCCATGGTCAGCCCATCAGCCCACCCTCTGTGCTGCCTCCCTCCCATTTCCGGAAAATTCACTTGTATTGGGGTGAAGATGGCAACCCATCATTTGGGGAAGGACTCACCCACGTGTGCCCACACACTCTGGTCCAAGAAGAACCCTGCAAAGAAAGATCATGATGAACTATTCATCTCGGCAGCAACCTACCCTTTCCTCCTGAGCCACTGGGCGCCACGCTGGACTGAAAATTAACTCATCCTCACCACTCACTTGCTTCAGAACATGGCTCTCTGCTGGGGAGACACCCAATCTGCAGGCCCATAGTGTAACCCTGGTGCTCCTTCCCTTCCAGGACTCACCAAGACATGCCAGGATGATGACCGTGGGTGACATGGACATGGTGCAGCTTCTGCTGCCAGGACGCAGTGACTCGGCTCGACTGACCGGTGCAGAGGATGTGGTGAGGGGCCCGGATCGTGCAGTTGACACATTGACCACAACATGTGAAGGGGACATAGGTAGGCTTCTTCTACGTCATATGAGGTTCAAGTGGTGAATCAGTCAAGGGAGGAATGAGGGTTTCTGAAAACTGCAGACTAGACTTGTCACTTCACATCATGCGCAACGGCCAGGCTCAAAACACATCTCAGACTCACTTACCCCTGCACGGGACGATTGAATTCTGCACTCACATGAGGAACTTTTGATGTATTTTTTTTTGTTTCTACCTGAGATTCAAACTCTCCTTGATATGTAATATGCAAAATACCTAATAGGTTTTATTAACACTATAGAGCAATCGTATTAAATAAATCATCATAATTTTCCATGGTTGTATTTTTCCTGTTAAGCCAGAAACAGATAAAATGATTTAAATCCCAGTAGAAAAGACTATATAGTTATTTCGCATCATAGAATTCCACCTTATTAGCAAAAACACAATATGTCAATTGAAGGTCTGGTCGTGTTATCTAGAATTTGTCTTATGACACAAGAGTCCAAATTCACAGTTCCCTGTCTCCCTTTTTGTCTCTCTGTAACGTGTGCTTTTTTTCTCCCTGTGTTGTTTGTGTGTCTTTCTTTCTCTCTCTCATTTGAGGAAAAAATATCAGACTGATAACATCCTCCAACTTGATACTGGAATATTGCAATAACTGAAGGTTGAAATCTACACATTTAATGTGCTGTCATTCTTACAAATGTCTCTTATTTACACCTACCTTTCTGGAGTTTGTAAGAACTTTTTCACTATGCATTTTAAATTTGTAAAACTCATAATTTTTAAAAAGGGATGGGTCTCACTGTTTGCCCAGGGTGGCCTTTACTCATTCTATAAGGCTGGCATCACCCTGATACTAAAGACAGAAAAGAACATTAAACAAAAGAAAACTACATGCCAATATTCCTGATGAACATAGAGGCAAAAATCCACAAAAAATACTAAGAACTGAATCCCGCAGCATATCAAAAAGTGAATCCACCATGATCAAGTCAACTTTATTCTTAGGGTGCAAGGTTGGTTGAACATACACAATCAATACATGTGATTCATCACCTAAACAAAACTAAAAACAAAAACCACATGATCTTCTCAACACACATGTAGAACATACTTTTTACTAAGCATTTCTTCATGTTAAAAGCCCTCAACAAGCTAAGCATTGAAGAAACATAACTCAATATAATAAGAGCCGCCTGTGACAAACCCACAACCAACATCATACTGAATGAGTAAAAGCTGGAAGAAGTTCCCTTCATAAGTGAAACAAGACAAGAATGCCCACTCTCACCATCCTATTCAACATAGTACTTGAAGTCCTAGACAGAGCCATCAGGAAAGAGAAAGAATTATAAGGCATCCAAGTAAGAAGAGAGTAGCAGAGAGAGGTAGTCAAATTACCTCTGTTTGAAGATGAGATAATTTCTATACCTAGAAACCCCATAGTCTCTGCCCAAAGGCTCCTACATCTGAGAAACAAACTTCAGCACAGTTTAAGGGCAGAAAGTCAATGTACAGGCTGGGTGTGGTGTCTCAGCCTGAAATCTAGCACTTTGGGAGGGCGAAGCGGGTGGATCACCTGAGGTCTGGAGTTCGAGACCAGCCTGGCCAACATGGCGAAACCCTGTCTCTACTAGAAACACAAATATAGCCGGACGGGGTGGTACGCAACTGTAGTCCCAGCTGCTTGGGAGGCTGAGTCAGGAGAACCGCTTGAACCTGGGAGGCAGAGGTTGCAGTGAGCGGAGATCACGCCATTGCACCTCAGCTTGGGCAACAACAGTGAAACTGCATCTCAAAAAAAAAACCAAAACAAATTTAATTAATGAGGAAAAGGGTATTTGTGGTGTCCATCATGATGTTTTCATATAGGTACACATTGTGGAATGGATGAAACAACCTCTTTATCATATTTATTTTTTCACATACTTGTATGTTTTGTGTGTGTGGTGAGAACATGTAAAATCTAATCTCTTAGTAATGTTCAATACACCATATGTTGCTATTAACTGGAGTCACCAAGACATACAATAGATCTCTTGAACCGATTTCTTCTAACTGAAATTTTGCATCCTTTGACCAACATCTCTTCAATCTCTCTCCATCCCAGGTTCTTTCGACGACCATTTTACTGTTCCTCTAGGTTCCACTTCTTACACTCCACACATGAGATCATGTGGCATTTGTCTTTCTGTGCCTGGATTGTTTCCCTTAACATAATGTCCTCTAAGTTTTTTCACATTGTCACAAATGAGAGGACTTCCTTCTTTGTTGTAAAGGTTGTATAGTACTTCATTACGTTCCTATCGTATACCACGTTTTCTTTGTCCATGCACCCATAGATGGGCAGTAAGGGTGATTCCACATCTTGGCTGTTATGAATAACGCGGCTGTAAACATGGGAATGCAGATATCTCTTCAACATACTGATTCCACTTCCTTTGGATACATGCGCAGTAGTTGGATTGCAGACACATATGGGAATTCTATGTTTAATTTTTTCAGGAACTTCCAGACTGTTTTCCATAATGGTTGTGCTAATTTACATTCCCATCAACTGCATACAAATGTTCCCTTTTCTCCACATCCTCGTTAACCCTTGTTATTTTTTATGTTTTTGATAATGGTCTTTTTTTTTTTTTTTTTTTTGAGACTCAGTCTTGCTCTGTCACCCAGGCTGGAGTGCAGTGGCACAATCTCGGTGTACTGCAACCTCTGCCTCCTGGGTTCAAGCGATTCCCCTGCCTCAGTCTCCAGAGTAGCTGGGACTACAAGTGTGCGCCACCAAACTCTGCTAATTTTTGTATTTTTAGTAGGGATGGGGTTTCACCATATTGGCCAGGCTGGTTTCGAACTGCTGACCTCAGGTAATCTCCCTGCCTCGGCCTCCCAAAGTGCCTGAATTACAGGCATGAGCCACCATGCCCAGACTGTTAATGGTCATTCTAAGAGGTGTGAGGTGATATCTCATTCTAGTTTTAATTTTTATTTAGCTGATGTTTAGTAATGCTAATCATTTTTTCATATACCTTTTGGTGATTTGTCTTATTCTTAGAAATGTTTATTCAGATACTTTGCCCATTTTTTTAAGTTGGGTTATTTGATTTCTTACCATTGAGTTGTTTGAGTTTCTTATATATTTTGGATATTAATTCCTTATTAGATGTATGGGTGCAAATATATTCTCCCATTCCATAGGTTGTCTTTCCACTTGTTGAGTTTTTTTTTTCTTTGCAGAAACTTTCAATTTGATATAATGTTATTTGTCTACTTTTGCTTTTGTTGCCTGGGCCTTTGGGTTAATATCCAAAATGGTTTTGCCCAAGCCAGTGGAGTTTTCCCTTGATTTCTTTTAGTAGTTTTTTTTTTTTTTTTAAGATGGAGTCTCACTGTGTTGCCCCGGCTGGAGTGCAGTGGTGCGATCTCGGCTCACTGCAACCTCTACCTCCTGGGTTCAAGTGATTCTCCTGTCTCAACCTCCCGAGTAGCTGAGATTACAGGCACCCACAACCACACCCAGCTGTTTTTGTATTTTTAGTAGAGGCGGGATTTCACCATGTTGGCCATGCTGGTCTTGGAATCCTGACCTTAGGTGATCTGCCCACCTTGGCCTCCCAAATTGCTGGGATTATAGTCTTTCATCTTACATTTAAGTCATTAATCTATCTTGAGTTGACTTTGTATGTTTTGTGAGGCAAATGTCCACTTCCATTCTTCTGCATGTGGACATGCAGTCTCCCAATCCCATTTATTAAAGAGACTGTTCCTTCTCCATTGTGTGTTCTTGACACATCCCAAAAATTGTTTGACCCTAAATGCATGCATTTTTTTCCTGGGCTATGAATCACTTCCATTGGTCTATGTGTCTGTTTTTATGCAAGTACTGTGTTGTTTTAATTACTGTAATTTTGTAATGTAGTTTGTGTTTAGGTAATGTGATGCTTCCAACTTTGTTCCTTTCCCTCTAGATGGCTTTGGTTATTTGAGATCTTTTGTGGTTCCACATGAATTTTAGGACTGTTTTTTCTATTTCTGTAAAAAAAATGTCATTGGATTTTTGATAATGGTTGCATTGAATCACTTTGGATAGAATGGACATTTTAACAACATTAATCCTTCTGATCCGTGAACATGGAATATCTTTCGATTTATTTGTTTATTTCTTGAGTTTTTTCATCAATGTTTTATAGCTTTTGCATACAGATCTTTCTACTCCTTGGGTGAATTTATTCCTGCATGTTTTGTTTTCTGTAGTTATTGCAAATGGGCTTATTTTCTTGTAAACTTGTTTGGATAGTTTGTTGTTAATGTATAGAAACTTTGTTGTTGTTGTTGTTGTTGTTGTTTTGATGATACCCATCCTAAGGGGTATGAAATGGCATCTGGTGTAGTTTTAGTTAGTATTTCCCTAATGATTCGTGATGCTGAATATCTTTTCATGCGTATGTTCTTTGGAGAAATGTCTGTTTCAGTACTTTGCCCATTTTTGAATTGAGTTTATTGTGATTGAGTTTTAGGAGTTGTCTGTATATTCTGGATGTTAATCCCTTACAGGTGGTGTGGTTTGAAAACATTTTCTCCCATTCTGTGGGTTGTCTTTTTACTTTGATAATATCGTCTTAAAAGTTCTTTTTCCTTGCCATGTGAAGTAACTGATGTTGTCTTTTGAGTCACAATATTTCAAAATTTTCATAAAGTCTAACTTGTTTATTTTTTCTGTAGTAGCCTGTGCCGTTGTTGTCACATCTAAAGAATCACTGCCAAATCCGATGTTGTGAAGTTTTCCTTTGTGTTTTCTTCTAAGACTTTAATTAAATTTTATTTGTCAATATTTAGGACTGACAAAAGCTTTTTAACATTCCTGGCACCATCTCAGTTATTGATCTACTCCCAAGATGGATCATTTCAATTAAAACATGTAAAGCATGACCTCACCTGAATGTGTTTGAACTTGCTCTTCTCCCTTTCAAATCGACTCCCTCACTTACATAGTTTGTGTTCAAATGTCAACAAATAAAACATAAAAAGAAATCAATCTTTTCATAGACCCTTTATCTAAAATAGAATAGTAGGTGCCATGACATTTCATCCTTTCATCTTGAATTATTTACTTTTCTACATGAACCAATCCATTCTTCTGTGTGCATGTGTGTGTGTGTGTGTGTGTAGTTTATCTGTCTACATATAATGTAAACACCAAAAAATAACAGACATTTAGTAATTTTCAAATGAGACTTCAGGAATTAACAATGGCTTGCCATTTTTAGTGTGTTATTATTATTATATTTAGATGAACAGAATTGCCTCAGGAACATGGCCAGGGGCTCATAGTCCAGGAGAACTGTGGCCTGACTCAGGTACATTTTACCTGCAATAACAGCAATTGCAGGTCACTGGAGTCCATCACAATTGGCTGGAGACAAATGTAAGACAAGAATATTTGCAGTTTCCCCAGACTGACACAGTTGCAGGTTCCCCGAAGTAATGAGTCCTGAGACACCTCCAACAAGAGCTAGAAAAGGTATCACTTCAAGAGGAGTTGCAGCCTACTCATTTTAGACAAATGGAGCAAAATTACAGTATCACATCTTTTCCTTTCTCCTTCATAGAATCTGGATGAACAGAACAGAAAGAGTTAATGGAATATAAGATTCCAATTCTCTGGCATGAGAAAATAGACAAGGAAAGGAAGATTCATCTTCATCACATCTCAGACATGCTTGGACACAGGGTCCAAGCACAAAAGAGAAACACATACTTCTTCCCATCCACACTGGGATCCAGGGTCTTCTCCCTCCTGTCAGGCCAGAACTGAGTCTCCACTCCCCAATTTAGTTCCCAGAGATGAAGCCCAATTTTCCTCTGTCTCAAGCTTTGAAGGCCAGCTTTAGCGTGTTCACCATGGATGAATGAAGGTGAGGTCAGAGGTTTGGGAAATGGTCAAGAATGAGGTGAGAAGAGAGCTGTGGAGGCATGGCCCCGGGGAGCTTGGTACCCCCCCATATCCAGAGCCTGTCTGGTCCAGGAGAGTTCCCAACCCTGTGAGCACCAACTCCGGATATTCTGGGCAGTGACCCGAGGGACAGCCTCTTATGAATACAGGCTGTTTTCCTCCAGTGTCTGCTGTGAAACCAGGATGTACAACATGGCCGTGTTCAACCCAACAATGGACTTAGGATTTTGCTGTACGCCAAAACTCAGTGTCCAACTTCCACTCTGTTTAGCTGGAAAAAGAAGGGGTTTGTTCCCATACATCTCACTCCTGTGTTCCTCTTTCAGTCTCAAAGCTCAGATGAAAACAATGAGTGTCACTTATTGTCAATCCTCTTCCCTGCCTTTTCCACACTCATCAGTATTACCGTTTACATTGAGACTAAAGATGGCCAATCACCACTTTTCTTCGGAAAAATCAACCTGATGTTGTACCTACTTTTTTAGAGGTGGAATCAACCTACCCTAAGATGCCAACTACATTTTACTGAATGGACTTTTGTGGATCCCTCGTTGTATATAGTGGCACCTTGAGGTATCATCCCTGTCTTTAGCAAATGAATATTATCCCAAGGACAATATTTCATCACAATTATTCGGGATGGACGAGTGGATATTGTGGTAGCAAGAACATTACTAAAAGTCACAGCTGATACAACACACTTGAAACCCATCTGGCCAATCTCCCACAGACAGAATGTCGCGCCATTCACTCCAGCCAGCTTCAGTCATGTTTCTTCCATTTCCACCTGTGGCCCCTCATGTCTCCACCAGGTCTTAGCCAGCATTGCCAAAAGAGCCAGGAAGACCAGACCAGCCACAACAATCCTGATGGAACTCTCCACAGTATAGTTCTGGAGAACAGGGGCTGGAGGGTGGGGGTAAGATCAGAGACCTTTCCATGTGGGCCAGGCCCCTCTCTCCCCAGAAGCTCTGAAATGGAGCTATTTCCCCATCTCACCTTCATAAAATTCTTCCTGTCCAGAACCCCTCTTCTCCCTATATCATCATGAGCACCTTCAGAAGTCTTTTGCCACAGAAAGAAATTTCTTTTGAAGATATACATTTTTTTGTACATTTCAAAAATGTTCCCAAACTAATTCTCCAAAGCAATAAATGTTTGTGTGTATTGCTGGGTAGGTTATGCATACAAGGAAAGGAAGCATAGTGAGTCTGATTTGGCAGAGGAAACATATGTGGAAATTATATCATTTACTCTCTTTACAAAATTAAGTACAAAATTGAAAACACTGGTAAGAAAGAATGAGCTATAGAGAAAGAAAACATCTGAGATGCTTGTTTCCAAGATGGCTGACTAAATGCTTTTCTGGCATGTCTCATCCACTTAGAAGAACGAGCAGAATCCAGAACAAAAACCATATGATCATCTCAATAGACATAAAGAAAAGCATCTGAAAAGAAATTCAACATCCTTACCTGATGAAAACCCTCAAAAACTTAGGCATAGAAAGAACATACCTCAAAATAATAAAAACCATAGATGACATATCTAGAGTCAACATCATACTGAACAGGAAAAGTTAAAAGCACTCCTCTGAGAACTGGCACAAGACAAGGACACGGACATCCACCACTTCCTATCAACATAGTACTGGAAGCCTTGTCAGAGCTATTGGGCAACAGGAAGAAGTAAAAATCCAAATTAGAAAAGAGGAAGTAAAATTATTTTTATTTCTGATGCTATGATCTTAAATCTAGAAAATCCTAAAGACCCTGCCAAAAATTCTTATGATTGATAAATGAACTAAGTAAAGTTTCAGAATACAAAATCAATATGTAAAAGCCGGTAGCATTTCTCTACACCTATAATGATCTAGCTGAGAACCAAATCAAGAAGGCAATGCCGTTTACAATAGATACGCAAAATTAAAACACTCAGGAATACATTTAACCAAGGTGGTGAAAGATCTGTACCAGGAAAGGTGTAAGACACCAATGAAAGCAATTATAGATAATACAAAAAAAAAAAAGAAAAAAAATCCCACGCTCATGGATCATAAGAATTAATATTGTTAAAATGACCATACTGCCTAAAGCAATCTACAGATTCAGTGCAATTCTTATATGAAAATAGTAACACCAGTTTTCACAGAATTAGAAAAAGCAATCCTAAAATTCATACAGAACCAAAAAAGATCCTAATAGAGAAAGCAATTCTAGGTGAATGTAGAAACCTGGAGGCATCACGCTATCTGACTTCAAACTATGCTCTAAGGCTATAGTAACTTAAATAGCACAGTGCTGGTATAGACACAGAAACAGAGATCAATAGACCAGAATAGAGAGCCCAGAAATACAGCCTCATATCTACAGTGAATAATCATTGACGACGTTAACAAAACATACACTGGAGAAAGATTTCCTTTTCAATAAAAGGTGCTGGGAAAACTAAATAGCCATATGCAGAAGAATAAAACTGGACCTGTATCTGTAATCATACACATAAATTAACTTAAGGTAATTAGCAGCTTAAATGTAAATCCAGAACTATAAAATCACCGGTGGAAACCCAAAGAGAAACTCTTCTGGGCATTGGTCTGGGCAAAGAATTCATCACTAAGACCTCAAAAGCACAGGCAATAAAAATAAAACTAGACCAATGGGACTTAATAAACGAAAGAGCTTCTGCCAAGCAAAGGAAATAGTAGCAGGGTGAACAGACAACCCACTGAATGAATGGAAATGTTTGCAAACTATGCACCCAACAGAGGACTAACATCCAGAATTTCTAGGCAACTCAAACAACTAAACATAACCCCTCAAATAATAGCATTAAAAAGTGGGCAAAGGGATATACATAGACATTTTTCAAAAGAAGACATACGAATGGCCAAACAGCGTATGAACATCACTAATCATCAGAGAAATGCAAATTGAAACCACAATGAGATATCATCTTACAGTAGTCAGAATGGCTATTACTAAAAATGCTGGTGGGGAGTGGTGGCTCACGCTTGTAATCCCAGCACTTTGGGAAGCTGAGGCGGGTGGATCATGAGGTCAGGAGTTTGAGACCAGCCTGACCAACATAGTGAAACCCCATCTCTACTAAATATACAAAAGATTAGCTGGGCATGGTGGTGTGGTTCTGTAATCCCAGCTACTCAGGAGGCTGAGGCAGGAGAATCATTTGAACCTGGTTGGTGGAGGTTGCAGCGCGTGGAGATGGCGGCACTGCACTCCAGCCTGGGTGACAGTGGAAGACTCCATCTCAAAAAGAAAAAAAGAAAAAGTGAAACATATAACAGGTGTTGGCAAGGATGCAGAGAAAAGGAAACTCTTATACACTGTTGGCCGGTATGTAAATTAGTATAGCCTCTATGGAAGACAGTATGGAAATTTGGCAGAGAACCAAAAATAGAAGCACCATTCGATCTAGGGGTCCCGCTGCTGGGTATCTACTCAAAAAATATCTGCACCTGTATGTTTATTGCAGCACTGTTTGCAATAGCAAAGATATGAAATCAATCTAAGTGTCTGTGAATGAATGATTGGATTAAAAAAAGGATGCGTGTATACACAACGAAATACTATTTGGTCATAAAAATAAAACCATGTCTTTTGCAGCAACATAGATGGAGCTGGACGCCATTATTTTACATAAAACCACTCAGAAAGACAAATACCACATCTTCTCACTCTACATGGGAGGGGAGTAATGTGTACATATGGACGTAGAGTGTGGAATGACGGACAGCGGAGGCTAGAAGGCTGGAGGGTGGCGGGACGTGGGTGAGTGATGAGAATTTGCTTAATGAGTACAATGTACGGTATTTGGGTGATGGATATAGTAAAAGTCCTGACTTCACTACTCTGCAACATACTCATGTCACAAAATTACAAGTGTACCTCATAAATTTATACTAATAGAAAAGAAAGTCTGTACACAGTAATCAATTGTGATATATAGATAAAGTCAATATTAAATTTAAACCAGAATAACTAGTTAAAATGTTGTGTACACAACAGTGAAGAGAGTATTTATCCTCTATGACAGAGGAAACCATCAATATTAATGCACAGAAAAAGCAAATAACTGAAACAAGAAAGAGCAGTTTTGTGACAGGGTAAAAATTGACAACAGTTTTAGAATGCTCCTAACTTGAGTTCCAAAAAGAAAGAACGAGAAAACAGGTCAGAAGCAATCTTTAAAGAGGCAATTGTTGATTATTTGGAGGAAGTAGACACATCCATCAATCCACAGGTTCAAGAAATCCAGTGAATGCCAGGCAGAATGAAGTAAACACACCTCACGTTCAACATTACAGAAAAGCAGCATAAAAGCACAACCAACCCTTAAAATTAGCCAGAGGAAAAGGATCAGCTGGTAAGGATTTATAGGGAGCCAAGCATTGTCTTCCCCACAGAAAAAAGGAAAACATAAGCCAGTAGAATAGCATCTTTACCCAGCTAAGATACCGTCGCCAGCCACCGACAATTCCTTACATAGTACAGTTACTGTCCAAGATCAACGCAGGAAAGAAACAGAACTGAAAGACAAAAGGTCAAAGAAAGCTTTTCTCACTGACCCTAAAGGAAATTCTGATGACCGTGCCTCAAAGATAAAGAAAGTGAAACCAGATGGGGTGTCGAAGATTCTGACAATAACTAAGAGCAGAGGAAGAACTAAAAATATGGCTATGCCAAAAATGAATATGGACCATACGATAGTGTATGAAAACACGCCCCTGTGTAATTTCTGAAAAAGATAGAATTATGTATACCACAAAACAAAACATCATATAAGTAAATACAAACATATGTACTAAATATGCTCTAAAATCCTGTTCTTACACAGGAAGAGTGGAAATATGTTTTTATATTTGCAGTTTAATCTCTGAAATGATTAATTTCAATTTTAAAAATATGTAACAACTTCAGGATGAGTACACCATATATGTATTCCTAAACGACATAGATCAAAAATAGAATGTTTGAAATAGAAAACCACAGAAGTCAGTGGGAAAAAAAGGGAATCAGGAAAACACAACGTAATAATAACAAAAATATGATTGGAAGAACTGCTCAAACATGAACAAAAGATTGTCAGAAAGTCTTACTTTCTAAGGCGAATTGTTTGAAATTTACAAAGGACACATCTCAATGTTAACAATTCATGGAGTTTGAAATTAAACAATGTAGAAATATACCAAGCAATCACTGTTAGAAATGTGGTATAACTATATTAAAATTAGACAAAATTAGTCTTTGGGAAAAATCAGCGGAAAACATTAAGCATAAAATGTAGGAAAAAAGCAGGTAAATTTATAGCATTTTAAATTTACCAGGAATATATAATCAGTTTACACTTAACCACTCCCAGTAATATTCCTGCAAATATACATGGAGGAAGAGTCGCGGAAATAAATGGACAGGTAGGCAAATCCACGGCCACAGTGGGGTGTTTAACACTCCTCTTTTCTCAGTTGTTGATAGAAGTGGTTCAGGCAATTAGAGAGGATTTAGAAAGATAATTGCTGGACCTGACCCAAGGTATAAGTCCACTCCCAACCACAGGACTCACTTTCCTTACAAGCACAAGGGCATTTAGAAATCTCTCTGGATTCTGACCAGCCCTCACCATATGGCAGGTCCATGGACTTCTTGGAACACACCAAGCTCATTCTCACATTAGGGTCATCCCCAATGTCCTAAGTCCATGAAAGTTCCTTTCAATACACTCCCCAGGGCTCACTCCCTCTTGTCTCTAAGATCGGAGTTTAAATGTGATCTCTCTGATGAGGTCTCAGTGAGACGTTCCCTCCTGTACACTCCAAATGACAACGTTCCACGTTCATTCATTTCATTCTGTGCATGGCACTTTCACCAAGTGCTAAGGATTCACTCACTAATTCATACATTCATTCATTCATTCATTCACTCATTCCATCATTCACTCATTCATTCATTCTCTCATTCATTCATTCATGTTCTGCCTCTCTCTCCCACCCCACAGCAATGTGAGCATCATGAACCCAGGAGCTTGGCCGTGCTGTCTACTCCTGGCCATGAAACAGAGAGAACTGATGGTAGGTGTGAAATAAATATTAGATGAATGAGTTAGTGAAGGGGTCATTTACTGGGTGAGCTCAGTTCTCTCTACTCTAATGCCCTCCCTCGGCTGACTTCCCTGAGTTGCCCCCTCGGCTGAGTGAAGTCCCTTCACTGGCAAATGGAACCTCAACCAGTAGCACCTAGGTGGTCTCATACTTTGTTCTTTCCCTCTCCTCTTGCTCCCTAAGGATTATCAATCTCCATGACAGGGCTGGAGAGCAGACAAGCCACACATTCTTTCTGGGGAGAGAGTAACATGGAGTACAAGGCATTCCACATTTAGGAAGAGAACTCAGTTATGGAAGGTCAGAAATGAAAAGTTCCTACAGACCAACACCCAGGTTGGTGGCCACAGCCCTAAATGCTGATGGAGAATCACTGCAAGTCTGTAGGGAAGATGTCTGGCTTGAGGCCACTGAGCGAAGTGGCAGATCCTTCTCAGCCTTCAGTGCTGAGCCTCTGTCCCCTCAGGGATCCACTGACCAATGAGAAGAGCCTCTTCTCATCTCCTGGGATGGAGCTTGGGGCCCCTGGCGAAGGAATGGGCCTGTTTCCACCTGTCATGTTGTCATCTAGCTTGGAAATCCTGCGAGTCCCAGGGAGGCCCTCCCCGAGTCCCCAGAGAAGACTCCCCCACTGAGTCTCCAAGGTGTGGAGAGAGCAAAAAACATCTAGGGTGGAAAATGCCTCCCATCAAGAGACATTGGGGCTCCCCCAACGATGGTTGCATCTGTGCCCCCCATGTGGAAATCACTCTTTGGTGAGAGGTGGGGGCTTCTGGAAATGGGCAATGGCGGGCGGCCAATGCTACCTCTAGTCTTTCCAATCTGAGCCCGGCCTTTCATGCTCCTGAGTCAGCATTGATGCTGTTTACATGTGTCCCAGGTGGGCTTCTGTACAAAGACTGGGAAGTGGTTTATGTGGCCTGTGCTCTATCTGCAAGCTTCAGGTAGGGTTGCAGTTACCACCCCAAACCCTAATGTGATCTGTCTGCCTCGCTCTGTCTGTCTGTCTATGCCTCTTTCTGTATGTTTGCTTTGTGTCTCTTCTGTCCAGCATCTCTGGCTGACACCCCCATGGCCACCCCCTCCATCTGAGGCTCCCCTGAATGTGGCCATTGTAGTCCATCTGAGTCCCACTATTTGGGGAACAGACTGGTTTCCTCACCTGTGACAGAAACAAGCAGTGGGTCACTAAGGTCTGACCACTCGTAGGGAGAGTCACGGAAAGAGCCGAAGCATCTGTAGGTCCCTCCGTGGGTGGCAGGGCCCAGAGGAAAGTTGGCCTGGAAGGTTCCATTGACCTTGGGCACTGCAGGGAACCTAAGTTCATGAGCCTCCCCCTCCCTTGATAGATGGTAGATGTCATAGGAGCTCCGGGAGCTGCAGGACAAGGTCACGCTCTCTCCTGCCTTAACCATGGGGCGCGGCTGGGCTGAGAGAGAAGGTTTCCCACATAGACCTGGAAGGAGAAGAGGCAGTTTCCTCAGGGAGGTTCTTCCTTGTCACAACTCCCCTCCCACCTGAGCTGAGAACTCACTCCCCTGCTCTATGGCCTAATGCTCTCTCTCTCTGTCTCACCCTCCACACCATCTCTCTTTATGTCTATTTCCTCTTTCCACCTTCTCTGTCTCTCTAGGTCTCTGACCTCACTTTCTCACCTCTAGATATGTTTTCCCTTTTTGGATTGTTTTATTCTCTCTGACTCTCCTTGGACTAGTTGACTTGATGTTACTTTTTTTAAATTCTGAGTTTCTCACTTTGTGTCCTGTTCATAACTTTCTGCATATTTCTATCTATTATCTATCGATATATCTATTTATCTATTTGGTGCCTATCTACAAATTCTCTACCTGTCATCTATATCTATATATAATCTATTTATCTATCAATTGTCTATCCAAAAATCATCTATTATCTATATCTATGTATCGTCTCTCTCTCTCTATGATTTCTCTTTGTCTGCCTCTCTATCTCTATGTATTATCTATCTTCATCTTCATCATCTCTATGTATCATCGATTAATCAATGAATGAATCAATCATCATCTATGTATCTATAACCTATTATCTATCATCTACCTATTTATCATCTATCTATATCTATCCATCTATCATCTGTCTTGCTCTGCCTCTCGGTCTCTCTAGTTCTCTTTGGAATCTCTGCAATTCATCCCCACATCTCCATCTTTCTATGTCCTTGTGTCTCTCCCTCAGGACTCTAATTTTAGTGCTTTTCTCTGTTCCCTTCCATTGTTCTCTCCACTTCTCTGCCCTCTTTTCTCCCTCTTTATGTGTCTGTGAGTCTCTCAATCTCCTTCCTCTGGCTCATTCTCTGTGTGTTTATGTCTTTGCTTTTTGGTGTCCCTGATTTCTCTCTGTGTCTCTCAGTGATCCTCTCATATGTGGGGTTATTTGGAATGTGAGCCTCAGAATCCAGTCTGGGGACCGCAAGTTCACACAGTATACAGGGGTTGATGTTCTGGGGCCATGATATCCTGGGACGATTACTCTCCATTGCATGGAAGGCAGAGGTGTCAGAATAAACACGGCATCTGTAGGTGCCAGAAGGCCTGAGGCCACAGGGCCCAACTCAGGCCAGAAATATGGGTGTCCTTGGGTTCTTCTGGTAGAGAACACTTTGTGGAAGTAAAACAGAAATGAAACTTCTAACCTGTGCCAGGTCTCTGAGCAAAGTCAGCATGGAAGGACACCTCTCTCTGGCACATGTCTGTCTGTGTCTCCTTTAACTCTTTCTGTCTTTTCTAACTCCCTGTATGGCCCCTGTGTCTGTCCTCTGTTATGACACCTGGTCTGTACTTGTGTCTCCTGTTTCTCTGTCTCTGTTGGTACAGACCTCACCAAGTTAGTCTCTCTCCATAAGAATACCAAGCTCATCTTCCTTATAACCACCTGGGCCTCCAAGTCGTGGATCATTCACTCTGTGTCCCAGTGACAATGAGAATAATGTCCAGACACTCTCACCTGTAATCACGATGTCCAGAGGGTCACTGGGAGCTGACAACTGATAGGGGGAATGAGGAACAGAACCGTAGCATCTGTAGGTCCCTGCAAGGTCTTGCGTCATGCGACCGATGGAGAAGTTGGCCTTGGAGACCCCATCATGGAGCTCTCCAGTGAGGCGCAAAGTGTCATTAAACTTCCCCTCTCTGTGCAGAAGGAAGTGCTCAAACATGACATCTGACCAACATTGCAGGATGACTGTCTCTTCTGATTTCACCAGGGGACCTGGGTGGGCCAGGAGGGAAGGTTTTCTGTGGACTCCTAGGAAGAGAAGTTGTGACTTTAGAAGGCATCTCTCTTTATCATCCCATCCATGGCACCTAGAATGAGTGAGGCTTCCCCTCGCTGGTGTCTTATCTCTCTCCTTCCTCTCTGTGTCTTCATGTTCTTTTCTGTGCCCATAACTCCTGGTACAGGTCCTTCCATCTGTCTCCCTCCCTCTTCTCTGTCCCTCTGTCTCTAGTAGCTCCTGATTCCCTTGACGCTGGGCTCAGCCTCATCTCTTGGGCTGTTGTATCTATTTCGAACTAATGTCTTTCCTGCTTCTATGTGGGGGTGGAAGAGGAACCAGGATAGGCTGCACGTCCAGGCTCTTAGCAGACTGGTTCAATCTCTTTTGGACGAATTGGAATCCTTGGCAGAAGGTATGAACTGATCAGTAAGGCAGGCACCAGTGTCCACACACCCTGTTCCTGGTGGGGACTGGGAGCCACTCTTGCCATGCCTGTGCCTTCTCCATGGTGCCAGCTTCCATAGGCTGGCTTCTGGTGCTGGTTTGAGGAGTATCAACCCCTCCCTATGTGGATGGAGCCTGGTGGTGGCATCATCATCCCACCCTTGCTGATCTCGGTGTAGCCAACCTTCTCTTTGTTTGGTTTCTTTAATTAATTAATTAATTTTGGAGTCAGAGTCTCACTCCTTCACCCAGGCTGGAGTGAAGTGGTGTGGTCTAGGCTCACTGCAACCTCTGTCTCCTGGGTTCAAGTGATTCTCCTGCCCTCAACCTCCTGAGTTGCTAGGATTACATGCACCTGCCACCACGCCCGGCTATCCTTGTGTCCTTTCTTATCTTGTCCTTGACCTGGGTTCCAGTGTTGGTTTCCTGTTGGTGCTGTAGAAAATTATCAGAAGCATGGCAGCAGGAGAGAGCACACTGACCCCTTCCGTTTCTGGAGACAGAAATCGGACCCTGTTTTTTGAGGGCTAAAATCAAGGCATCTGCAGGGCTGCGTTCCCTCTGGAGACCCAGGAGAATCAGTTCCTTGACTTTTCCAGCCTCTATAGGCCACCTGCATTCATGGCTCATGGCCTTCCTCCACCTTCAAAGCTGATGGAGACTTCCATTGCACTGCTCTAATCGCCACTCCCCTCTTCCTTCTCCTCTCATGTGCACCCTTGTGATTACACTGAGCCCAGCAGGACAGTCCAGGCTGTCTCCCCATCTCAAGGTCAACTCAACAACCTGAGCTCCATCTTCCCCTTCAGTGCCTTCCCCTATAACATAAATAGTCACAGACTGCAGGGATTAGAATGCAGTCATCATTGGGGACAATTATTCTTTCCACCACAGCACCCATTTCCCTGTATTCAATCCCCTTTTATCCCAAATACAGTTAGGGTCTGGATGATGGGACGCTGGTGGACACTCCCACCAGAAGCTCTGGGACTCAGGAGGTGGGACAAGGAGAATCCCAGACAGGAGCCCTCTGACCTGTGACCATGATCACCAGGGGGTTGCTGGGTGCTGACCACCCAGTGAGGAAGTGTGGGTGTGAACCCCGACATCTGTAGGTCCCTGCATGTGCTGGGGTCACAGGGCCTATGAAAACGGTGTTTCGGAATACTCTGTTGTAGAGCTCAGGGACAGGCATCCCGTCTTCTTTGGACAGACTGAATTCGTTAAACCCAAGACGAGAGCGACACTGAAGAGCCACATGTTCTCCTTCAGACACCACGGGGCTGGGCCAGGCAGAGAGGAAGGGCTTGTCCTGACCACCTGGGGGAGAAGGAGGCGCCACCTTAGAGAGGAGGATGTGGCACTCCCTCCCTCTATTCCTTTCCAGGACTCACCAACACACGCCATGCTGACGACCATGAGCGACATGGTGCTGCCGGTGCAGACAGGCGGCCGCGCCCCAGCTCAGCTCAGCAGCGCACAGGATGTTATTTGGCGCCCTGCCCATGCAGCTTACATGTTGACTACATCATGGGAGGGTGACGTACGCAGGCTCTTTCTACCTTGCATGAGGCCCAGTGGATGCTTGCTCAAGAGCGGAACACGGCTTCCTGGAAATTGTTCTCACTAGAATTGGCACCTCACGTCCTTCACTATGACCAACTCACAACACGTCTCAGATCCAACCTCCCGAACACAAGATGCCTAAAATCTGTGCTAACGTGAAAGACTTTTCATGTATTTTTATCCGAACACGAGATGCCTAAAATCTGTGCTAACATGAAAGACTTTTCATGTATTTTTTTTGTTTTTATCTGAGATTCAAACTCTTCTTCCTGTGTAATATGCAAAGTATCTAATAGGTATTATTAATGTTTTCGGAGTCATTGTGACTAATAAACCATTAGAATTTTTCATGCTTGTATTTCTAGTATTACAGCAGAACCAGCTAAAATGATTTAAATTCCCAGGGAAGGATTATGCAATTATTTACAATCTTCGAATTGTACTTTATCAGCAAAAACCACACCTGTAAATTCTGGAGTTTTGTAGTTTAATCTAAAATTTGTCTCATGACCCAAGATTCCAGAGTCCCAACTCTGGAGTTTGCTCTCTGTCTGTCTCTCTCCCTCCCTCGTTTTAAATTTTACAGAAATATCCAGTAACATAATGCTATAGAAAATCAAGTTTTCCCCAGCACGTTGGGAAGCCGAGGTGGGCAGATCAACTGAGATAAGGAGTTTGAGAGCAGCCTGGCCAATATAGTGAAACCGTGTCTCTGTTAAAAATCCAAAAATTAGCCGTGCCTGGTGGCAGGCACCTGTAACGCCAGCTACTCAAGAGGCTGAGGCACGAGAATCGCTTGAACCTGGGAGGCGGAGGTTGCAGTGAGCTGAGATTGTGTCACTGCAGTCCAGCCTGGGCGACAGAGCAAGACTCCGCCTCAAGAAAAAAAAAGCAAACAGCCTATAATAACAAATTAGAGGGCTCTGGCTACTAAATTTAAAGGGTTCTATAAGGCTACATAAAGTGCAGCATCATCAAGAGTGTGGACACAGAGAGCCCCTTAGCAGAAACAGTGTCTAAAATACATCCATGTACACACAGTCCCTTTAGAGTTGACAAAGGCTGCCGTGTGGTTTAAGGTGGCATAGAATGTCTTCTCAATAAATAATATTAAACCAATTGGTTACACCTAGGAAAAAATAAATCTAACTCACACTATAAAAACACTTCTTAGTTTTTATCTAGTTGTACATTTTTTATGATTTATATTTAAATTTGAGAAATAAAAGTCATATACGGTCATCCTTCACTATTCGTGGGTGATTGGTTTTGAGATCTCCACTCAGATACCAAAATCTGTAGATGCTCAAGCCTCTTATATGAAATGGCACAGCGTTTGCAAATAACCTATGCACATCCTCCTGTATACATGAAATCATCTCTAGATTACTTATAATTCCTGATACAGCCTACACACAGCTTCATTTGTGTCCATTCAACATAGTTATGCTTTTTGAAACTCTGTGGATACTTTCTCTCAATATTTTTGATTTATACTTGGTTCAATAAACACCTGTAAACCCCGCAGATATGGAGGAGTGACCGTATATTTATATTATGAAAGATGATGTGTTGATATGTGTCCCCATGGAGATGAGACTAACAAGGCCTATGATTCTACAAATGTTTCATTGTGGAATGACTCTGCCAGCTTTCCAGGTCTGCAGAGAGTAAGAGTATCACTTGTTCATATGATTCGTGATCCTTGGAACCTCCTATGTGCTACATCTTTGGATGGAAATTGGAGTCCCAGAGACAAATGAGGCTCCACCCTGCTTCCAGAAACTCAGAGTCCGGGGATGAGAACTCAGTGGGGAACAGATGGGATTATATGGACATGGTACTGATAACACCGGAAGCCTTAGGCAAGAAAAGAGTCCCATTACCGAAACCATGGGGGCAGACATGTTTATTTGAAGGATGGAAAACTACATTGAAGTTATTTTAAAAAATATATAAGTTTTACTGCTGACAGAAGACTGAAAGCTAGTCTGAGGGGAGGTGGAACAGCATGAGGGAAGGTGGAACAACACGTGTCTAAGTGCTGCGTTAAGAGGGAGCCTCTTGTATGTTTGGAATTGTGAGTTCCTCAGTGTGATTGCAGCCTCAAGTAGACTAGGAAGTAAGCCAGTTAGGTTGGAGAGGTGGGCAGGGGTCAAGTGAAATGGAGAACTGTGGGCTAAGCAAAGGAGTGTGTTTTTTCTCCAGCAGGCAGTGGGGACCTTAGACATTTGTAAGCAAGTGAGAGGCACATTCAGATTTGTGGTGTGAGGAAGAGCGATGCCCTAAGATGCAGACTCATGCCTTCAGATTCCAGCTGCTGGTACATGGGAGCTGGCAACCCGGTTTTGAGACAGGGCTGTTGTCTCCCTAGAAGACGCCCTCAAGGCCTGACTGTGGTGCTCATGGGCAGGAGACAACTTTGGATCTGGACTCAGCATTTGGAAGTTCCGTGTACACGATGATATCTGTTGGGGGTGTCTTGGGCCTCTGAGAAGGGCGAGTGATTTTTCTCTGTGTGAAAACGCAGTGATTCAACTGTGTGTATGTCACCTCCTGAGGGTCTTGTTCATCAGAGTCCTGGAGAGAGGGAAATGCTGAGTGAGGGAGGGTGCTCACATTTTCCAGGACTCTTTGGGAATAACAGTAGCCACGAGCCCGGGCCGAGGAGTACCTACCTCGCTATTCGCTGTTCTGTTTCCTGCAGACTCTTGGTCCATTACCGCAGCATCTGTAGAAGACGGAAGTCAACAAAACAGCTCGGAGGGCACTTCTGGGTCCTCATTTCATAAGCAGATACCAACATACAGGGGGAGACCATAGGTGGCTGAGGTCCCTCAGTTGCCAACAGCAGACTCAGACATTCTATCTCTCTGAGCTCAAGGACCCATCCCATGAATAGCTCTGAGTTCCCATCCCATTGATTCTGTCTCCCACTTTCTGCCTGTCATGGAACCTTCTCCTGGATGTGAGTGGCTGCAGTGGACATGAGGATACAGTTCAGAATCAGGCAACGGTCTGTGAGTTGAAGGCAGGGACAGGGAGTCTGGTGCCCTCTCTAGAAAGTCCTGCCTCTGTGGCTGCTGCCTTGGGCCAGGGACCATCCTGTTTGTGAGGAACACACACCTGAGTGCTCCCATCCTGCTTCCCCACATGGCCCTGAGCTCTCTGGCCTCTGCTTCGTGAGACTTACTTTTTTTGTTGGAGCACCAGCAATGAAGGAGAAAGAAGAGGAGGATGAAGAGGATGATGACCACTGAGGTCCCAATCAGAATGTGCAGGTGTCGGGGGTTACCTGGAAGAAGATGAGACACCAATAAGAAGCTAATCTTAGCAGTTCCTCTTTATGAATTGTCTCGCATTTCTTGATTGACAGGTAACCACATAAAACACCTCTTTAGGACAAGCACCCAGATAGCAGGAGACCCAGCTTTCTCCTGCTTTTTCAGTTATAGCTCTCATAGTAACCATAGAACGTGCTGAGGATACGACTACTTTAGTTGAGATGTTTGACCCCTTCAAACCTCACATTGAAATTTCACCCCCACTGTGGGAGGTTGGGCCTCTTGAGAGGTGTTTGGGTCATGGAGGTGGATCCATCATGAACACATCAATGCTGTCCCAAGGAGACGGGGTTAGCAAGTTCCCCCTCTATTAGTTCCCGGAGAGCTGGTTGTTAAAAAGAGCTTGGAAGCTCCATCACTCCCCCTCCCCCTTGCTCCCTCTCTTGCCGTGTGATCTCTGTGGTCTCTGCACAGACAGACCCTCCTTCCCTTCTGCCAGAGTGGGAGCAGCCTGAGGCCGTCACGAGAAATAGATGCTGGTGCCATGCTTCCAGTACAGCCTGCAGAACGGTGAGACAAACCAATCTCTTTTCTTTAGAAGTTACCGAGGCTCAAGTGTTCCTTTAGAGCAACAAAAATGGCCTAAGACAGCAACTTCCTGAGATCAGGAGGAACGTCTCAGAACAGCCTGGGCTGTCTTCCTGTTCTTCCTGGAGGAGGACGTCATGCAGTGCTTTAGCTGAGTGCTTCCTGTGGCTCCAGGGTACAAAACCCAGGCTGGGCTGCTTTCTGGCTTCCCGCAGCTACACTGCAAATGGGGTGACTCCATATGTCCCGAGGAGCTTTTCTGAGCCTTGAGGGACTGGCTCACATTGAAATATAGGTTTCTGTTGTCACTCGCTGCTTATCTGTTAGTAATGAACCTGCCTATGTAACGTATTCTCTGTGTGTTCTGTCTCCCTGGAGTGACGGTGAGTGATAGGAATTGGCATAGGCCCAGGTGCAGTCCAGGAGGTGTTTAGAGTCTTCTCTGGGAAGACTGGACTGGGATTGATTCACAGCGAATGTGCTTTAGGGTTTCTACATCCACAGCATTCTTGAATCAAACAACTTGCATTCTCCAAGGAAAGAAAACAAAAGTGAAATCAAGATAAAAAAAGCGAAATAGAATTCTCTTATGTCAAACGGCCAGGAAATAGTGTTGAAGCCCGTGTGAAACCTGCTGCTCTTTGTGATCTCGGGAGACACATATTAGGCTGCTGTTCTACCCGAGAGGCTGGGGGAAGGACCACCCCCTCGGCCATCTATTGCTTCAAAACCACCTGTCCTCCTGTGAATTAGTAGGAAAGGGGAGCAGGAGCTAGTGCTGTCGCTGATCTCTGATTCCAAGATCTGGACTCACTCCAAGGAGTGTTAATGTTTACCTCCCCATGGTCTATCTGAATCTCCACAGGTGATTGGAAGTAGGGGTGAGGTGGGGGATTTGGGTGAGTGGGCAAGTTTTTTTTGTGATGACCAGAGCACTTTCTCTATTCCAGGATCTGTGCTGGAGGATTCAGCGGGCTTTCACATTTTCTATGTGATCTCATGCTCACAGAAAGCCAAATAGGGAAGAGGTTTTAGGCTCATTGCCTAATGGATAAGATAAAGGATCAAAGAAGTAATTATAGAGAAATAGAAAAATCATGATTGGAATTCAGGTCCCTTTGTCATTTGCGTGTGTTATATTATATTTATATTTATGCATTTCTTATTTTTATTTTTTGAGACGGAGTCTCCTTGTGCCACCCAGGCTGGAGTGCAGTGATGCAACCTCCACTCACTGCAACCTCCACCTCCTGGGTTGAAGTCATTCTCCTGCTTCATCCTCCAGAGTAGGAGCTGGGATTACAGGGATGCACCACCATGCTCGGCTAATTTTTGTGTTTTTCCTAGAGACAGGGTTTCACCATGTTGGCCAGGCTGGTCTCGAACTGCTGACTTCATGTGATCCACCCGCCTTGGCCTCCTGCAGTGCTGGGTTACAGGCGTGAGCCACCGTTCACAGACTTGTATATTATGCTATAATAGGTCCCTTCATTTCCACCACCCCTCATATATCTGTCACTCCTTTGCCAGGTATTGATTTATGTGTAGGATGAATAAATCTCAGAAAGAAATTAATTAAGCGAGGATTAAACAAGTAGGAAAATCAAACCCAGTAAGCGTTTCCAGTCAATGATTCTACCTCACAAACATATCTTATATCCATCTACTTCATTCATTTAGTGTCTAAATCAGCACCACATTTCACCAGTGGGGCGGCAATTGCCTTTTCCACGGTCTCCTAGATTCCAGTTATGCAACTGAGCCTCCCTTATTTTCATGTCAGTCATATTAATCATGTAGGGATTCCTAGTTACCCCGAGGTGAATTCAATGGCTGTGAGTGTCAAACACACACTCCTTGTTGCTCCTTAGTTTCCTGTGTACCCAGTGTGCTCTCCGTCTCTCTACAGTCATCTTGTCATTCTCCCCACATCATTCCCAGCATTTGAGGCAGAGCCTCTTCCTTCCATATCAGATTGTTTTCACCTTTGTGCCTTCACGGCTGACAGCTGTGTGTGCAAAATCCTTCCGCCAATCTTTCAGGGGTTCAATCCGTGTTTTTCATTAATGTCACAAATATCTGAATAGTGAGACCTTCTTTGTCACCTGAAATCATACACTCAGCATTATCTATTATTGATTTTGAATTCTGGCTGGGCACAGTGGCTCACGCCTGTAGTCCCATTACTTTGGCATGCTGAGACGGTCGGATCACTTGAGGTTGGGAGTTTCAGACAAGCTTGGCCAACGTGGTGAAACATCCTCTCTACAAAAAATATACAAAAAGAATTAGCCGGGCACGGTGGCAGTTGCCTGTAATCCCAGCTACTCGAGAGGCGGAGGCAGGAGAATCACTTGAATCCAGGAGACGCAGGTTGCAGTGAGCCAAGATCGTGACACTGCACTGTAGCCTGGAAGACAGAGGGCGACTCTGTCTCAATAAACAAAAGAACAAACAAAAAATAGATTTCACGCACAGATGCTTCCCAATGGATCATTCATTTATAGATCCACTTGTGCATTCATTTTCTGCCCTCCCATTTAACCATCTGCAATATCAGTGTCCCAAGGGCAGAGGCCAAATGCATCTTGTTCACTGTTTGTGGAAGGCAGGAGAATGCTGTCCCACCCCAAAATGTCCCTGTCCTAGCCTCCATAGCTTGTGAATATGTTATTTTACATGGAAAGGAGGAATGAAGATTGCAGATGGAATTATGGTTACTAATCAGCTGAACTTAAAACAAGGGTATCCTGGATGATTTCCAGGAGATTATGAGGGATTTTCATCTTGGTGAACCCAATAGAATCCCCAAGTTTTCAAAAGATGAGGAAGAAGGGAGAGCAGCATTCAGAGAAAGAAGTGTGGTAAGGAAGAAGGCACTGAGTGATGCCATGTGAGATGTGACCAGTCTTTGTGGGCTTTGAGGAAGGAGGAAGGGGACCAGGAGCCAAGGAACTGGGAGCCTTTAGAAGCTGGGACAAGTGAGAAGCAGATTCGTGCCTGGAATCCTCAGAGGGAAGGCAGCCTTGCTGTCACCTTGATTTTAGCCCAGTAAGATGCACTTCCTACTTTGAGCTACAGCACTGTAAGATAATTAAAAAACCGTTTTGTTTTCACCCACGAATCTTGTGGAAATTTGTTATGGCAACAATAGGAAAAGGTTCCGCACTGCACAGCCTGAGCATGGGGCCGTGGCTGAATGAGTCAGTGAGTCGAAGTGTGCGTGCATGAGCTCTGTTCTCTGTTACGGCAAGGCTCTTGCTCTGCTGAGTCAGCCAGGGTTGCTTCATGACCTACAGGAGCTCATTCCTTGGCAAGTGGAACTTCTCTAAAACACCTCGCCCTCATCAGATGTTCCCTTCCCTTCCCTCTCTCAAGTCTCCAGGAATTTATCCTCCAGTTAGGAATGCAGGCAGAACAAACATTGCATTTTTCCTGAGAAGGATGTCAGATTGGCAATCATTCTTCTAGCTTGTAGGAGGTCTCAGCTCCATAAAATGAGAGATGAAGAGATTTCACTGAGCCCTGTGTTGGGCCCAGATCCCTTTCGCTGTAGGAGTATCTGGAGTTCGGAGATGGTGGAAGACAGGTGTACAATGTCAGAGCTGTGAGATGCTGAGTCAACGCCTGAATCCAAGGTTTCCACCTCCCCAGGTTTCCAAAAGCGGATATAAGAGGGTTCTGTACTCACCGGTTTCGGAGCTTGGTTCAGTGGGTGAAGGCCAACTATTTGAAGGGTTTCCTAGAACATGAGACAGGAGAGAGGTGAGGAAATGAGGGTTTCTGTCCTCCACTCAGTGGAAATCTTTGAGGATGGTTCATGGCCAACACTCTGTTATCTAATATTGGGCCCTGGGAGTCCTGGGATCCTTTTTTCCATAATTTTTTTATGTGACACCCACTGTCTTGAGACTTCAAGGTATAAAGAGAAAACAGGAGCATCACACTACCTGATCTCAAAATATGTTACAGAGCTGTAGTAAGCAAAATAGCATGACATTGGCATAAAGAAAGGCACATAGAACAACGGAGCAGAATGAATAACACAGATATATTCCATGCATTTACATCCAATGGTTTTTTATTTTTTCTTTTGAGATGGAGTCTTGCTCTGTCACTCAGGCTGGAGTGCAAAGGTGCAATCTCGGTTCACTGCAACCTCAGCCTCCTGGGTTCAATCATTCTCTTGCCTCAAACTCCTGAGTAGTGGTATTACAGGTGCTGACCACCATGCTCAGCTAATTTTTATATTTTTAGTGGAGATGATGTTTCATCACGTCGGCCAGACTAATCTTGAACTCCTGGCCTCAGGTGATCCACCCACCTTGGGCTCCCAAAGTGCTGAAATTGCAGGTGTTAGCCACCAAGCCCAGCCCATCCAATGGACTTTGACAAAGATGCCAAGAACTCACAATCAGGAAAGGACAGTCTTTTCAATAAACAGTGCAGGGAAACCTGGACATCTACATGCAGAGGAATGAAACTGCACCTCTACCTGTCACCATACACAAAAATCAAATGAAAATGGATTAAAGATGTGAGTCTAAGGCCTGAACCTATGAAACACGTAGAACAAAATATTGGGGAAATGCTCCAGGACACTTGTCTGAAGAAAGACATTTTGTTTTAAACCTTGAAAACACAAGTAATCGAAGCAAAAATAGACCATTGGGATTACCTCATACTAAGCAACTTCTGCACCGCTAAAAATAAACCAACAAAGTGAAGAGACAACCCACAGATTGGGAGCAAATATGTGCAAACTATGCATCTGAGATGGGATTAATAACTAGAAATATAAGAAGCTCAAACAACTCAATAAAACAAATGATTTAATTGAAAAAGGAGCAAAAGACATGAAATTTCCCCACATACGAAAAACTGCTCAGTATCACTCATCATCAGAGAAACGCAAATTAAATTCAAAGTGAGTTTTCATCTCACCCCATTAAAATGGCTTTTAGGCCGGGTGAGGTGGCTCACGTTTGTCATCCTAGAACTTTGAGAGCCTGAGGTGGGTGAATCTCATAAGGTCGGGAGTTTGAGACCAGTATGACCCACATAGAGAAACGCTGTCTCTACTAAAAATACAAAAATTAGTCGGGCGTGGTGGCGTGTGCCTGTAATTCCAGCTACTCGGGAGGCTGAGGCAGGAGAATCGCTTGAACCTGGGAGGTGGAGGTTGTGGTGAGCCGAGATCGCGCCACTGCACTCCAGCCTGGGTGAGAAGAGCAAAACTCCATCTCAAAATAAAATGAAATAAAATAAAATGGCTTTTAGCTGCAAGACAGGCAAAAGAAATGCTGGCAAGGTGGTAGAGAAAGGAGAACCCTGGTACCCTGTTGGGAGGAGTGTAAATTAGTACAGCCATTACGGAGAAAAGTATGGAAGTCCTTTAAAGAACTAAAAAGAGGTTGGGTGCGGTGGATCATGCCTGTAATCCCGGCACTTTGGGAGACTGAGGCGGGCACCTCAGTTGAGGTCATGAGTTTGAGAGCAGCCCAGCCAACATGGGGAAACCCCATCTATACTAAAAAAACCAAAAAGTAGCCAGGGATGGTGGTGTGCACCTGTAATCCCAGCTACTAGGGAGGCTGAGGCAGGAAAATCATTTGAACCCAGGAGGCGTAGGTTGCAATGAGCCAAGGTCGCACCACTTTGACTCCAGCTTGGGCTAAGGAGGGAAACTCTTTCTCAAAAAAGAAAAAAAGAAAAAAAGAGAACTTTCATAGTATCCAGCAATTTCACTACTGGGTTTATATCCAAAGGAAAGTAAATCAATATATCGAAGTGATATCTGCACTCGTATGATTGGTGCAGCACTGTTCACAGTAGCCAAGATGAGGAGTCAACCTACCTGCCCATCAGTGGGTAAATGGATAGAGAGAATGTAGTACATACGCATAGTGGAGACTACTCATCCATAGAAAGAATAACATCCTGTCATTTGCAGCCACATGGATGGAACTGGAGGTCATTACAAAGATTCCCATTTCTCACCCATATACAGGAGCTAAAAGGTGGATCTCATGAAGGTAGAGAGTAGAATGGTGGCTACTGGAGGACAGGAAGAAAAGGGTGGAGGGTAAAAAAAATGTATATATATATATGTATATAAATGTATTTATGACCACTAGACTTTACACTTAAAAATGGTAAATGTGGCTGGGCGCGGTGGCCCATGCCTGTAATCCCAGCACTTTGGGAGGCAGATGCGGGTGGATCACTTGGTCAGGAGTTCGAGACCAGCTCGACCAACATGGTGAAACCACCTCCCTACTAAAAATACAAAAAGTAGCCTGGCGTGGTGGTGCGTGCCTGTAGCACCAGCTACTCAGGTGGCTGAGGCAGGAGAATCGCTTGAACCCAGGAGGTGGAGGTTGCAGTGAGCTGAGATTGTGCCACTGCACTCCAGCATAGGGGACACAGCTAGACTCCACCTCAAAAAAAAATGTTAAAAGTGGTAAGCTATATAGGTATATTTATCCTCAATAAATATTTCTTCAAAGAAAAGTAAAGGGTGTAGGGGTTGCTGGTGATGACATCTCTGTGTGGGTGAGAGGCCAGGATGGGCTTCTGGGAAATGGGTAAGGTTGAGGGGCTGAGGGAACCTCTGATCTCCCCAAACTGAGCCCAGTCTCCCTCCTCTGGGTCTCTCCTGACCGCTTTCTCCATCTGCCTGGGTGCCTGGAGCCCTGGCCGTGGGCCTCCATGCAGGCCATGTAGGAGGGTTTGGAGGTGCCCTGTCGGCCATCCTGTGCCCTGATCCCTCCCTCACACCGAGGCTGCGTCTTCTCTCTGCATCTGTCCATGCTTCTCTCCATCATCAGCAGGAAGCTCCTCAGCTAAGGCTCTAGGATCATAGGACATGGGACAGCCATGGGCTTTCCTCACCTGTGACAGAAACAAGCAGTGGGTCACTTGACTTTGACCACTCGTATGGAGAGTCACGGAAAGAGCCGAAGCATCTGTAGGTCCCTCCATGGGTGGCAGGGCCCAGAGGAAAGTTGGCCTGGAATGTTCCGTTGACCTTGGTCCCTGCAGGGAGCCTACGTTCATGGGCCTCCCCTTCCCTGGATAGATGGTACATGTCATAGGAGCTCCGGGAGCTGCAGGA
Organism: Homo sapiens; assembly: GCF_000001405.40. Lineage (NCBI taxonomy): Eukaryota > Metazoa > Chordata > Mammalia > Primates > Hominidae > Homo > Homo sapiens. Next base: position 82,977 of record NT_187640.1, read on the forward strand.
CAAGGTCACATTCTCTCCTGCCAGAACCGTGGGGCCCGGCTGGGCTGAGAGAGAAGGTTTCTCATATAGACCTGGAAGGAGAAGAGGCAGTTTCCTCAGGGAGGATCTTCCTTGTCACAGCTCCCTTCACCTGAGCTGAGAACTCACTCCCCTGTTCTATGACCTAATGCTCTCTCTCTCTCTCTCTCACCCTCTACCCCATCGCTCTTCATGTCTATTTCCTCCTTCCACCTTCTCTGTCTCTCTAGGTCTCTGACCTCACTTCCCCACCTCTAGATATGTTTTCTCTTTTTGGATTGTTTTATTCTCTCTGACTCTCCTTGGATTGGTTGACTTGATGTTACTTTTTTTAATTCTGAGTTTCTCACTTTGTGTCCTGTTCATAACTTTCTGCATATTTCTATCTATTATCTATCGATCTATCTATTTATCTATTCGGTGCCTATCTACAAATTCTCTACCTGTCATCTATATCTATATATCATCTATTTATCCATCAATTGTCTATCTATCCATCAATCATCTATTATCTATATCTATGTATCATCTCTCTCTCTCTATGATTTCTCTATGTCTGCCTCTGTATCTCTATGTATTATCTATCTATGTGTCTTCATCATCATCATCTCTATGTCTCATCTATTAATGAATCAATCAATCATCATCTATGTATCTATAACCTATTATCTATCATCTACCTATTTATCATCTATCTATATCTATCCATCTATCATCTGTCTTGCTCTGCCTCTCGGTCTCTCTAGTTCTCTTTGGAATCTCTGCAATTCATCCCCACATCTCCATCTTTCAATGTCCTTGTGCCTCTCCCTCAGGAGTCTAACTTTAGTGATTTTCTCTGCTCCCTTCCATCATTCTCACTTCTCTGCCCTCTTTTCTCTCTCTTTATGTGTCTGTGAGTCGCTCAATCTCCTTCCTCTGGCTCATTCTCTGTGTGTTTATGTCTTTGCTTTTTGGTGTCCCTGATTTCTCTCTGTGCCTCTCACTGATCCTCTCATAAGTGGGCTTATTTGGAATATGAGCCTCAGAATCCAGTCTGGAGACTACAAGTTCACACAGCATACAGGGGTTGGTGTTGTGGGGCCATGATATCCTGGGACGATTACTCTCCATTACATGGAAGGCAGAGGTGTCAGAATAAACATGGCATCTGTAGGTGCCACAAGGCCTGAGGCCACAGGGCCCAACTCAGGTCAGAAATATGGGTGTCCTTGGGTTCTCCTGGTAGAGAACACTTTGTGGAGGTAAAACAGAAATGAAACTTCTAACCTGTGCCAGGTCTCTGAGCAAAGTCAGCATGGAGGGACACCTCTCTCTGGGACATGTCTGTCTGTGTGTCTCCTTTAACTCTTTCTGTCTTTTCAAACTCCCGGTATGGCCCCTGTGTCTGTTCTCTGTTATGACACCTGGTCTCTACTTGTGTCTCCTGTTTCTCTGTCTCTGTTGGCACAGACCTCACCAAGTCAGTCTCTCTCCATAAGAATACCAAGCTCATCTTCCTTACAGCCACCTGGGCCTCCAAGTCCTGGATCATTCACTCTGCATCCCAATGACAATGAGAAGAAAGTCTGGACACTCTCACCTATGATCACGACGTCCAGAGGGTCACTGGGAGCTGACACCTGATAGGGGGAGTGAGTAACAGAACCGTAGCATCTGTAGGTCCCTGCCAGGTCTTGCGTCATGCGACTGATGGAGAAGTTGGCCTTGGAGACCCCATCATGGTGTTCTCCAATGAGGCGCAAAGTGTCGTTAAACATCCCCTCTCTGTGCAGAAGGAAGTGTTCAAACATGACATCTGACCAACATTGCAGGATGACTGTCTCTTCTGATTTCACCAGGCGACCTGGGTGGGCCAGGAGGGAAGGTTTTCTGTGGACTCCTAGGAAGAGAGGTTGTGAGTTTAGAAGGTGTCTCTCTTTATCATCCCATCCATGGCACCTGGATTGAGTGAGGCTTCCCCTTCCTGGTGTCTTATCTCTCTCCTTCCTCTCTGTGTCTTCATGTTCTTTTCTGTGCCCATAACTCCTGGTGCAGGTCCTTCCATCTGTCTCCCTCACTCTTCTCTGTCCCTCTGTCTCTAGTAGCCTCTGATTCCCTTGCCGCTGGGCTCAGCCTCATCTCTTGGGCTGTTGTATCTATTTCGAACTAATGTCTTTCCTGCTGTCTGTGTGGGGGTGGAAGAGGAACCAGGATAGGCTGCACATCCAGGCTCTTAGCAGCCTGGTTCAATCTCTTTTGGACGAATTGGAATCCTTGGCAGGAGGTATGAACTGATCAGTAAGGCAGGCACCAGTGGCCACACACCCTGTTCCTGGTAGGGACTGGGAGACACTCTTGCCATGCCAGTGCCAGCTTCCATAGCCTGGCTCCTGGTGCTGGTTGGAGGAGTATCAACCGCTCCCTATGTGGATGGAGCCTGGTGGTGGCATCATCATCCGAGCCTTGCTGATCTCAGTGTAGCCAACCTTCTCCTTGTTTGGTTTCTTTAATTAATTAATTAATTTTGGCGACAGAGTCTCACTCCTTTGCCCAGGCTGGAGTGAAGTGGTGTGGTCTAGGCTTACTGCAACCTCTGTCTCCTGGGTTCAAGTGATTCTCCTGCCCTCAGCCTCCCAAGTCGCTAGGATTACATGCACCTGCCACCATGCCTGGCTATCCTTGTGTTGTTTCTTAACCTGTCCTTGACCTGGGTTCCAGTGTTGGTTTCCTGTTGCTGCTGTAGAAAATTATCAGAAGCATGGCAGCAGGAGAGAGCACACTAACCCCTTCCAATTCTGGAGACAGAAATCGGACCCTGTTTGTCGTGGGTAAAATCAAGGTACCTGCAGGGCTTCGTTCCCTCTGGAGACTCAGGAGAATCAGTTCCTTGACTTTTCCAGCCTCTATAGGCCACCTGCATTCATGGCTCCTGGACTTCCTCCACCTTCAAAGCTGATGGAGACTCCCATTATGCTGCTGTAATCCCCACTCCCCTCTTCCTCCTCCTTTCATGTGGACCCCTGTGACTACACTGAGCCCATCAGGACAGTCCAGGCCTTCTCCCCATCTCAAGGTCAACTCATCAACAACCTGAGCTCCATCTTCTCCTTCAGTCCCTTCCCCTATATCATAAATAGTCACAGACTCCAGGGATTAGAATGTAGTCATCACTGGGGACAACACAGTGCTTCCCACCACAGCACCCATTTCCCTGTATTCAATCCCCCTTTACCCCAAATACAGTCAGGACTTGCATGATGGGACCCGCAAGGACACGCCCACCAGGAGCTCTGGGATTCAGGAGGTGGGACAAGGAGAATCCCAGACAGGAGCCCTCTGACCTGTGACCGTGATCTCCAGGGGGTTGCTGGGTGCCGACCACCCACTGGGGTAGTGTGGTTGTGAACCCCGACATGTATAGGTCCCTGCGTGTGCTGGGGTCACAGGGCCCATGAAAAGGCTGTTCCAGAATATTATGTTGTAGAGCTCAGGGACAGGCACCCCATCTTCCTTTTACAGACTGAAGTTGTTAAACCCAAGATAAGAATGACACTGAAGAATCACATGTCCTGGAGGCACCACAGGGCTTGGCCAGGCAGACAGCAAGGGCTTGTCCTGACCACCTTGGGGAGAAGGAGGCACCGCCTTAGAGAGGAGGATGTGGAGCCACCCCTCCCTCCCTGTGCTCTGAAGATTCTCCTCGCTTTCCAAGTTTCTATGGCTGCTATCACACCTTGGTGCCTAGGGCTAAAGGAAGGACCCATCCCGCAAACACAAGGTGTCTCCCTACAACAAAAGTGTCAGCTGAGAACTTTGAGCAAGTGCTGAGTAAGAGACTCCTACTAGATTTTAATACTGTAAGATTACTCACATAAAACAACACAGGGTAGACATGGGGTGGAGGGCATGTCCTTTGAGAATGGAATATCAGCTGATGCCTGAACGAAAATAAACAACTGAGTCCCCATCAGAGGATTGGAATGTCAGGGCCATGGCTGTGGTTTTCCCACCTCTTCTGGTAGAATGACAGCAGCCACACTGCAGCCCCTACCGTCATGGAAACGCTGAAGTGTGTGAGTAACACCTTTGTCCTCAGAGGATCTGCTGTTCCTACCACTTCCCCACCACACACCCCAGCTTTGAGCACCGTAGTCTAACCCTGGTCCCCACAGAACTTGACTCTGCCAAGGGAATGAAAGGCCAGGGAGGCAAGGTCAGAAATGTGGGCCCAGCACCCCAGGGTCCCTTCTTCCTAGTTTATGAGAGACTCCCTGACAGGACTTCCCTCCCATTTCAGGAAAATCCTCTTATGTGGGGAGATTGACACCCGAAGGTTTGGAGAAGGACTCACCCTCATGTGGCCAGGCCCCCTGCAGCAAGAAGAACCCTGGAAAGAAAGATCATGATGGATGACCCATCTGCAGGCAAACCAGGGCACCCTTGCTGCCCCCACTGGGCTGTGAGTCTTGGTAGCCAGGCCCTTCCTGGGCTGAAGGTAAACTCACCCTCAGTGCCTACCTGCACCCAAGAACAGGGCTGTCGGCTGTGCAGAGACCCAGCCTCCAGGTCCATATCCCCACCTCAAGCCCATATCTCCACTCCAGGCCCATATCTCCACTCCAGGCCGATATTTCCACCCTAAGCCCATATCGCCAATCCAGGCCCATATCTCCAATCCAGGCTCAGATCTCCACCCTGGGCCCATATCTCCAATCCAGGCCCTTATCTCCACTCCAGGTCCATATCTCCTCTCCAGTCCCATATCTCCACTCCAGGCCCATATATCCTCTCCAGTCCCATATCTCCACACCCAGGCCCGTATCTCCATCCTAGGCACATATCTCCTCTCCAGGCCCAGATATCGACCTCTAGGCCCATATCTCCACTCCTGGCCCATATCTCCACTCCAGGCCCAGATATCGACCTCTAGGCCCATATCTCCACTCCTGGCCCATATCTCCACTCCAGGCCCATGTCTCCACTTCAGGCCCATATCTCTACTGCAGGCCCGTAACTCCACCTCCAGGCCCATGACTCCACTCCAGGCCCATATCTCCACCTCCAGGCCCATATCTCCCCTCCAGGTTCCTATCTCCCCTCCAGGTTCCTATCTCCACTCCAGGCCCAGATCTCCACTACAGTCCCATCACTCCACCTCCAGGCCTATATCTCGACCTCTGGGCCCAGATCTCCACTTCTAGGCCCATCACTCCATCTCTAGGCCCATATATCCACTCCAGGCCCAGATCTCCACTCCAGGCCCATAACTCCACCTCCAGGCCTATATCTCCACCTCTGGGCCCAGATCTCCATCCCCGCGCTCCCTCCCTCTATTGCTTTCCAGGACTCACCAACACACGCCATGCTGACGACCAAGAGCGACATGGTGCTGCCGGAGCAGACAGGCAGCCGCGACCGAGCTCAGCTCAGCAGCGCACAGGATGTTATTTGGCGCCCTGCCCATGCAGTTTACATGTTGACCACATCATGGGAGGGTGACGTACGCAGGCTCTTTCTACCTTGCATGAGGCCCAGTGGGTGCTCGCTCAAGAGCGGAACACGGCTTCCTGGAAATTGTTCTCGCTAGAATTTGACACCTAGTGTCCTTCACTATGACCAACTCAAAACACGTCTGAGATCCAACCTCCCGAACACGAGATGCCTAAAATCTGTGCTAACATGAAAGACTTTTCATGTATTTCTATTGTTTTTATCTGAGATTCAAACTCTTCTTCCTGTGTAATATGCAAAATATCTAATAGGTATTATTAATGTTTTCAGAGTCATTGTGACTAACAAACCATTAGAATTTTTCATGCTTGTATTTCTAGTATTACAGCAGAACCAGTTAAAATGATTTAAATTCCCAGGGAAGGATTATGCAATTATTTACAATCTTAGAATTGTACTTTATCAGTAAAAACCCCACCTGTAAATTCTGGAGTTTTGTAGTTTAATCTAAAATTTGTCTCATGACCCAAGATTCCAGAGTCCCAACTCTGGAGTTTGTTTTCCGTCTGTCTCTCTCCCTCCCTCATTTTAAATTTTACAGAAATATCCAGTAACATAATGCTATAGAAAATCAAGTTTCCCCAGCACGTTGGGAAGCCGAGGTGGGCGGATCAACTGAGATAAGGAGTTTGAGAGCAGCCTGGCCAATATAGTGAAACCGTGTCTCTGCTAAAAATCCAAAAATTAGCCGTGCCTGGTGGCAGGCACCTGTAACGCCAGCTACTCAAGAGGCTGAGGCACGAGAATCGCTTGAACCTGGGAGGCAGAAGTTGCAGTGAGCTGAGATTGTGTCACTGCAGTCCAGCCTGGGCGACAGAGCAAGACTCCGCCTCAAGAAAAAAAAGCAAATAGCCTATAATAACAAATTAGAGAGCTCTGGCTACTAAATTTAAAGGGTTCTATAAGGCTACATAAAGTGCAGCATCATCAAGAGTGTGGACACAGAGAGCCCCTTAGCAGAAACAGTGTCTAAAGTACATCCATGTACACACAGTCCCTTTAGAGTTGACAAAGGCTGCCGTGTGGTTTAAGGTGGCATAGAATGTCTTCTCAATAAATAATATTAAACCAATGGGTTATACCTAGGAAAAAATAAATCTAACTCACACTATAAAAACACTTCTTAGTTTTTATCTAGTTGTACATTTTTTATGATTTATATTTAAATTTGAGAAATAAAAGTCATATACGGTCATCCTTCACTATTCCTGGGTGATTGGTTTCGAGATCTCCACTCAGATACCAAAATCTGTAGATGCTCAAGCCTCTTAAATGAAATGGCACAGAGTTTGCAAATAACCTATGCACATCCTCCTCTATAGATGAAATCATCTCTAGATTACTTATAATTCCTGATGCAGCCTACACACAGCTTCATTTGTGTCCATTCAACACAGTTCTGCTTTTTGTAACTCTGTGGATACTTTCTCTGAATATTTTTGATTTATACTCGGTTCAATAAAGAACTGTAAACCCCACAGATATGGAGGAGTGACTGTATATTTATAGTGTGAAAGATGATGTGTTGATATGTGTCCCTGTGTAGATGAGACTAACAAGGCCTATGACTCTACAAATGTTTCATCTTGGAATGACTCTGCCAGATTTCCAGGTCTGCAGAGAGTAAGAATATCACTTGTTCATGTGATTCACGATCCTTGGAACCTCCTATGTGCTACATCTTTGGATGGAAATAGGAGTCCCAGAGACAAATGAGGCTCCACCCTGCTTCCAGAAACTCAGAGTCCGGGGGTGAGAACCCAGTGGAGAACAGATGGGGTTATGTGGACATGGTAATGATAACACTGGAAGTCTTAGGCAAGAAAAGAGTCCCATTACCGAAACCATGAGGGCAGACATGTTTATTTGAAGGAGGGAAAACTACATTGAAATTATTTTAAAAAATATATAAGTTTTACTGCTGACAGAAGGCTGAAAGATACTCTGAGGGGAGGTGGAACAGCATGAGGGAAGGTGGAACAGGACGTGTCTAAGTGCCGTGTTAAGAGGGAGCCTCTTGTATGTTTGGAACTGTGAGTTCCTCAGTGTGATTGCAGCCTCAAGTAGACTAGGAAGTAAGCCAGTAAGGTTGGAGAGGTGGGCAGGGGTCAAGTGAAATGGAGAATTGTGGGCTAAGCAAAGGAGTGTGTTTTCTCTCCAGCAGGCAGTGGGGACCTTAGACATTTGTAAGCAAGAGAGAGGCACATTCAGATTTGTGGTGTGAGGAAGAGCGATGCCCTAAGATGCAGACTCACGCCTTCAGATTCCAGCTGCTGGTACATGGGAGCTGGCAACCCGGTTTTGAGACAGGGCTATTGTCTCCCTAGAAGATCCCCTCAAGGCCTGACTGTGGTGCTCATGGGCAGGAGACAACGTTGGATCTGGACTCAGCATTTGGAAGTTCCGTGTACACTCTGGTATCTGTTGGGGGTGTCTTGGGCCTCTGAGAAGGGCGAGTGATTTTTCTCTGTGTGAAAACGCAGTGATCCAACTGTACGTATGTCACCTCCTGAGGGTCTTGTTCATCAGAGTCCTGGAGAGAGGGAAATCCTGAGTGAGGGAGGGTGCTCACATTTTCCAGGACTGTTTGGGAATAACACTAGCCACGAGGCTGGGCCGAGGAGCACCTACCTAGCTATTCGCTGTTCTGTTCCCTGCAGGCTCTTGGTCCATTACAGCAGCATGTGTAGGAGACGGAAGTCAACAAAAGAGCTCGGAGGGCACTTCTGGGTCCTCATTTCATAAGCAGATACCAACAAACAGGGGGAGGCCATAGGAGCCTGAGGTCCCTCAGTTGCCAACAGCAGACTCAGACATTCTATCTCTCTGAGCTCAAGGACCCATCCCATGAATAGCTCTGAGTTCCCATCCCATTGATTCTGTCTCCCACTTTCTGCCTGTCATGGAACCTTCTCCTGGATGTGAGTGGCTGCAGGGGACGTGAGGATACAGTTCAGAATCAGGCAACGGTCTGTGAGCTGAAGGCAGGGACAGGGAGTCTGGTGCCCTCTCTAGAAAGTCCTGCCTCTGTGGCTGCTGCCTTGGGCCAGGGACCATCCTACCTGTGAGGAACACACACCTGAGTGCTCCCATCCTGCTTCCCCACATGGCCCGGAGCTCTCTGGCCTCTCCTTCGTAAGACTTACTTTTCTTGTTGGAGCACCAGCGATGAAGGAGAAAGAAGAGGAGGAGGATGAAGAGGATGATGACCACTGAGGTCCCAATCAGAACGTGCAGGTGTCTTGGGTTACCTGGAAGAAGATGAGACACCAATAAGAAGCTAATCATAGCAGTTCCTTTTTATGAATTGTCTCGCATTTCTTGATTGACAGGTAACCACGTAATACACCTCTTTAGGACAAGCACCCAGATGGCGGGAGACCCAGCTTTCTCCTGCTTTCTCAGTTATAGCTCTCAAAGTAACCATAGAATGTGCTGAGGATACAACTACTTTAGTTGAGATGTTTGACCCCTTCAAACCTCACATTGAAATTTCACCCCCATTGTGGGAGGTTGGGCCTCTTGAGAGGTGTTTGGGTCATGGAGGTGGATCCATCATGAACAGATCAATGCTGTCCCAAGGAGACGGGGTTAGCAAGTTCCCCCTCTATTAGTTCCTGGAGAGCTGGTTGTTCAAAAGAACTTGGAAGCTCCATCACTCCCCCTCCCCCTTGCTCCCTCTCTTGCCGTGTGATCTCTGTGGTCTCTGCACAGACAGACCCTCCTTCCCTTCTGCCAGAGTGGGAGCAGCCTGAGGCCATCACGAGAAATAGATGCTGGTGCCATGCTTCCAGTACAGCCTGCAGAACGGTGAGACAAACCAATCTCTTTTCTTTAGAAGTTGCCCAGGCTCAAGTGTTCCTTTAGAGCAACAAAAATGGACTAAGACAGCAACGTCCTGAGATCAGGAGGAACGTCCCAGAGCAGCCTGGGCTGTCTTCCTGTTCTTCCTGGAGGAGGACGTCATGCAGTGCTTTAGCTGAGTGCTTCCTGTGGCTCCAGGGTACAAAACCCAGGCTGGGCTGCTTTCTGGCTTCCCCCAGCTACACTGCAAATGGGGTGACTCCATATGTCCCGAGCAGCTTTTCTGAGCCTTGAGGGACTGGCTCACATTGAAATGTAGGCTTCTGTTTTCACTCGCTGCTTATCTGTTAGTAATGAACCTGCCTATGTAACGTATTCTCTGTGTGTTCTGTCTCCCTGGAGTGACGGTGAGTGATAGGAATTGGCGTAGGCCCAGGTGCAGTCTAGGAGGTGTTTAGGGTCTTTTCTGGGAAGACTGCACTGGGATTGACACACAGCGAATGTGCTTTAGGATTTCTACATCCACAGCATTCTTGAGTCAAACAACTTGCGTTCTCCAAGGAAAGGAAACAAAAGTGAAATCAAGATAAAAAAGCGAAATAGAGTTATCTTATGTCCAACAGCCAGGAAATCGTGTTGAAGCCCCTGTGAAACGTCCTACTCTTTGTGATCTCGGGAGACACATGTTAGGCTGCTGTTCTACCTGAGAGGCTGGGGGAAGGACCACCCCCTCCACCATCTATTGCTTCAATACCACCTGTCCTCCTGTGAATTAGTAGGAAAGGGGAGCAGGAGCTAGTGCTGGTGCTGATCTCTCATTCCAAGATCTGGACTCACTCCAAGGAGTATTAATGTTTACCTCCCCATGGTCTATCTGAATCTCCACAGGTGATTGGAAGTAGGGGTGAAGTGGGGGATTTGAGTGAGACGGCAAGTTTTTTTTGTGATGAACAGAGCACTTTCTCTATTCCACGATCTGTGCTGGAGGATTCAGCGGGCTTTCACATTTTCTATATGGTCTCATGCTCACAGAAAGCCAAATACGGAAGAGGTTTTAGGCTCATTGCCTAATGGATAAGACAAAGGATCAAAGAAGTAATTATAGAGAAATACAAAAATGATGATTGGAATTCAGGTGCCTTTGTCATTCGTGTGTGTTTTATTATATTTATGCATTTCTTATTTTTATTTTTTGAGACGGAGTCTCCTTGTGTCACCCAGGCTGGAGTGCAGTGATGCAATCTCCACTCACTGCAACCTCCACCTCCTGGGTTGAAGTCATTCTCCTGCTTCATCCTCAAGAGTAGGAGCTGGGATTACAGGGATGCACCACCATGCTCGACTAATTTTTGTATTTTTCATAGAGACAGGGTTTCACCATTTTGGCCAGGCTGGTCTGGAACTCCTGACTTCAAGTGATCCACCCGCCTTGGCCTCCTGCAGTGCTGGGAATTGCCTTTTCCACGGCCTGAGCATGGGGCCGTGGCTGAATGAGTCAGTGAGTCGAAGTGTGCGTGCATGAGCTCCGTTCTCTGTTAAGGCAAAGCTCTTGCTCTGCTGAGTCAGCCAGGGTTGCTTCATGACCAACAGTAATTCATTCCTGGGCAAGTGGAACTTCTCTAAAACACCTCGCCCTCATCAAATGTTCCCTACCCTTCCCTCTCTCAAGCCCCCAGGAATTTATCCTCCAGTTAGGAATGCAGGCAGAACAAACATTGCATTTTTCCTGAGAAGGATGTCAGATTGCCAATCATTTTTCTAGCTTGTAGGAGATCTCAGCTCCATAAAATGAGAGATTAAGAGATTTCACTCAGCCCTGTTTTGGGTCCAGATCCCTTTCGCTGTTGGAGTATCTGGAGTTCGGAGATGGTAGAAGACAGGCGTACAATGTCAGAGCTGTGAGATGCTGAGTCAACGCCTGAATCCAAGGTTTCCACCTCCCCAGGTTTCCAAAAGCGGATATAAGAGGGTTCTGTACTCACCGGTTTCGGAGCTTGGTTCAGTGGGTGAAGGCCAACTATTTGAAGGGTTTCCTAGAACACGAGACAGGAGAGAGGTGAGGAAATGAGGGTGTCTGTCCTCTACTCAGTGGAAATCTTTGAGGTTGGTTCATGGCCAACACTCTGTTATCTAATATTGGGCCCTGGGAGTCCTGGGATCCTTTTTTCCGTAATTTTTGTATGTGACGGCTACTGTCTTGAGACTTCAAGGTATAAAGAGAAAACAGGAGCATCACACTACCTGATCTCAAAATATGTTGCAGAGCTGTAGTAAGCAAGACAGCATGACATTGGCATGAAGAAAGGCACATAGAACAACGGAGCAGAATGAATAACACAGATATAATCCATGCATTTACCTCCAATGTATTTTTTGTTTTTCTTTTGAGATGGAGTCTTGCTCTGTCACCCAGGCTGGAGTGCAGAGGTGCAATCTCGGTTCACTGCCACCACAGCCTCCTGGGTTCAATCACTTCTCTGGCCTCAAACTCCTGAGTAGTGGTATTACAGGTGCTGACCACCATGCTCAGCTAATTTTTATATTTTTAGTGGAGACGATGTTTCATCACGTCGGCCAGAGTAATCTTGTACTCCTGTCCTCAGGTGATCCACCAGCCTTGGCCTCCCAAAGTGCTGAAGTTGCTGGTGTTAGCCACCATGCCCAGCCCATCCAATGGACTTTGACAAAGGTGCCAAGAACTCACAATCAGGAAAGGACAGTCTTTTCAATAAACAGTGCAGGGAAACCTGGACATCTACATGCAGAGGAATGAAACTGCACCTCTGCCTGTCACTATACACAAAAATCAAATGAAAATGGATTAAAGATGTGAGTCTAAGGCCTGAACCTATGAAACACGTAGAAGAAAATATTGGGGAAATGCTCCAGGACGTTTGTCTGAGGGAAGACATTTTGTTTTAAACCTTGAAAACACAAGTAATCGAAGCAAAAATAGACCATTGGGATTACCTCAAACTAAGCAACTTCTGCACTGCTAAAAATAAACCAACAAAGTGAAGAGACAACCCACAGATTGGGAGCAAATATGTGCAAACTATGCATCTGAGATGGGATTAATAACTAGAAATATAAGAAGCTCAAACAACTCAATAAAACAAATGATTTAATTGAAACAGGAGCAAAAGACATGAAATTTCCCCACATACTAAAAAGTGCTCAGTATCACTCATCATCAGAGAAACGCAAATTAAAATCAAAGTGAGTTTTCATCTCACCCCATTAAAATGGCTTTTAGGCCGGGTGAGGTGGCTCACGTCTGTCATCCTAGAACTTTGAGAGCCTGAGGTGGGTGAATCTCATAAGGTCGGGAGTTTGAGACCAGTCTGACCCACATGGAGAAACACTGTCTCTACTAAAAATACAAAAATTAGTCGGGCGTGGTGGCGTGTGCCTGTAATTCCAGCTACTCGGGAGGCTGAGGCAGGAGAATCGCTTGAACCTGGGAGGTGGAGGTTGCGGTGAGCCGAGATCGCACCACTGCACTCAGCCTGGGTGACAAGAGCGAAACTCCATCTCAAAATAAAATGAAATAAAATAAAATGGCTTTTAGCTGCAAGACAGGCAAAAGAAATGCTGGCAAGGTGTTAGAGAAAGGAGAATCCTGGTATCCTGTTGGGAGGAGTGTAAATTAGTACAGCCATTACGGAGAAAAGTGTGGAAGTCCTTTAAAGAACTAAAAAGAGGTTGGGTGAGGTGGATCAGGCCTGTAATCCCGGCACTTTGGGAGACCGAGGCGGGCACCTCAGTTGAGGTCATGAGTTTGAGAGCAGCCCAGCCAACATGGGGAAACCGCATCTATACTAAAAAAAACAAAAAGTAGCCAGGCATGGTGGCGTGCGCCTATAATCCCTGATACTAGGGAGGCTGAGGCAGGAAAATCATTTGAACCCAGGAGGCAGAGGTTGCAATGAGCCAAGATCATATCACTTGTACTCCAGCCTGGCACAGAGGGAAACTGTCTCAAAAACAAAAACAAAACAACAAACGAAAAACTAAAAAGAGAACTTTCATAGTATCCAGCAATTTCACTACTGGGTTTATATCCAAAGGAAAGTAAATCAATATATCGAAGTGATATCTGCACTCGTATGATTGGTGCAGCACTCTTCACAGTAGCCAAGATGTGGAGTCAACCTACCTGCCCATCAGTGGGTGAATGGATAGAGAGAATGTGGTACATTTGCATAGTGGAGACTACTCTTCCATAGAAAGAATAACATCCTGATATTTGCAGCCACATGGATGGAACTGGAGGTCATTACAAAGATTCCCATTTCTTACCCATATACAGGAGCTAAAAGGTGGATCTCATGAAGGTAGAGAGTAGAATGGTGGCTACCAGAGGCCAGGAAGAAAAGGGTGGAGGGTAAAAAAAAATATATGTGTATATATATATATATTAATGTATTTATGACCACTAGACTTTACACTTAAAAATGGTAAATGTGGCTGGGCGTGGTGGCTCATGCCTGTAATCCCAGCACTTTGGGAGGCTGATGCGGGTGGATCACGTGGTCAGGAGTTCGAGACCAGCTTGACCAACATGGTGAAACCCCCTCTCTACTAAAAATACAAAAAGTAGCCTGGCATGGTGGTGCGCGCCTGTAGCACCAGCTACTCAGGTGGCTGAGGCAAGAGAATCGCTTGAACCCAGGAGGCGGAAGTTGCAGTGAGCTGAGATTGTGCCAATGCACTCCAGCATAGGGGACAGAGCTAGACTCCGCCTCAAAAAAAAAAATGTTAAAGGTGGTAAGCTATATAGTTATATTTATCCTCAATAAATATTTCTCAAACAAAAGTAAACGGTGTAGGGGTTGCAGGTGATGACATCCCTGTGTGGGTGGGAGGCCAGGATGGGCTTCTGGGAAATGGGTAATGTTGAGGGGCTGAGGGAACCTCTGATCTTCCCAAACTGAGCCCAGTCTCCCTCCTCTGGGTCTCTCCTGACCGCTTTCTCCATCTGCCTGGGTGCCTGGAGTCCTGGCCGCAGGCCTTCATGCAGGCCATGTAGGAGGGTTTGGAGGTGCCCTGTCTGCCATCCTGTGCCCTGATCCCTCCCTCACACCCAAGCTTCGTCTTCTCTCTGCATCTGTTCATCCTTCTCTCCATCCTCAGCAGGAAGCTCCTCAGCTAAGGCTCTAGGATCATAGGACATGGGACAGCCATGGGCTTTCCTCACCTGTGACAGAAACAAGCAGTGGGTCACTCGAGTTTGACCACTCGTAGGGAGAGTCACGGAAAGAGCCGAAGCATCTGTAGGTTCCTCCGTGGGTGGCAGGGCCCAGAGGAAAGTCAGCCTGGAATGTTCCGTTGACCTTGGGCCCTGCAGAGAACCTACGTTCATGGGCCTCCCCCTCCGTGGATAGATGGTACATGTCATAGGAGCTCCGGGAGCTGCAGGACAAGGTCACGCTCTCTCCTGCCAGAACCGTGGGGCCCGGCTGGGCTGAGAGAGAAGGTTTCTCATATAGACCTGGAAGGAGAAGAGGCATTTTCCTTACGGAGGCTCTTCCTTGTCACAGCTCCCTTCACCTGAGCTGAGAACTCACTCCCCTGCTCTATGACCTAATGCTCTCTCTCTCTCTCTCTCACCCTCCACCCCATCTCTCTTCATGTCTATTTCCTCCTTCCACCTTCTCTGTCTCTCTAGGTCTCTGACCTCGCTTCCACACCTCTAGATATGTTTTCCCTTTTTGGATTGTTTTATTCTCTCTGACTCTCCTTGGATTGGTTCACTTGATGTTACTTTTTTAAATTCTAAGTTTCTCACTTTGTGTCCTGTTCATAACTTTCTGCATATTTCTATCTATTATCTGTCGATCTATCTATTTATCTATTCGGTGCCTATCTACAAATTCTCTACCTGTCATCTATATCTATATATCATCTATGTATCTATCACTTGTCTATCTATCCATCAATCATCTGTTATCTATATCTATGTATCATCTCTCTCTCTATGACTTCTGTCTGCCTCTCTATCTCTATGTATTATCTATCTGTCTTCATCATCATCATCTCTATGTCTCATCTATTAATGAATCAATCAATCATCATCTATGTATCTTTAACCTATTATCTATCATCTACCTATTTATCATCTATCTATATCTATCCATCTATCATCTGTCTTGCTCTGCCTCTCGGTCTCTCTAGTTCTCTTTGGAATCTCTGCAATTCATCCCCACATCTCCATCTTTCTATGTCCTTGTGCCTCTCCCTCAGGACTCTAATTTTAGTGCTTTTCTCTGCTCCCTTCCATCATTCTCACCACTCCTCTGCCCTCTTTTCTCTCTCTTTATGTGTCTGTGAGTCTCTCAATCTCCTTCCTCTGGCTCATTCTCTGTGTGTTTATGTCTTTGCTTTTTGGTGTCCCTGATTTCTCTCTGTGCCTCTCAGTGATCCTTTCATATGTGGGGTTATTTGGAATGTGAGCCTCAGAATCCAGTCTGGAGACCACAAGTTCACACAGCATACAGGGGTTGGTGTTCTGGGGCCATGATATCCTGGGACGGTTACTCTCCATTACATGGAAGGCAGAGGTGTGAGAATAAACACGGCATCTGTAGGTGCCACAAGGCCTGAGGCCACAGGGCCCAACTCAGGTCAGAAATATGGGTGTCCTTGGGTTCTCCTGGTAGAGAACACTTTGTGGAGGTAAAACAGAAATGAAACTTCTAACCTGTGCCAGGTCTCTGAGCAAAGTCAGCATGGAGGGACACCTCTCTCTGGGACATGTCTGTCTGTCTGTCTCCTTTAACTCCTTCTGTCTTTTCTAACTCCCGGTATGGCCCCTGTGTCTGTCCTCTGTTATGACACCTGGTCTGTACTTGTGTCTCCTGTTTCTCTGTCTCTGTTGGTACAGACCTCACCAAGTCAGTCTCTCTCCATAAGAATACCAAGCTCATCTTCCTTACAACTACCTGGGGGTTCCAAGTCGTGGATCATTCACTCTGCATCCCAATGACAATGAGAAGAATGTCCGGACACTCTCACCTGTGATGACGATGTCCAGAGGGTCACTGGGAGCTGACAACTGATGGGGGAGTGAGTAACAGAACCGTAGCATCTGTAGGTCCCTGCCAGGTCTTCCATCATGGGACCGATGGAGAAGTTGGCCTTGGAGACCCCATCATGGTGCTCTCCAGTGAGGTGCAAAGTGTCGTTAAATGTCCCCTCTCTGTGCAGAAGGAAGTGCTCAAACCTGACATCTGACCAACATTGCAGGATGACTGTCTCTTCTGATTTCACCAGGGGACCTGGGTGGGCCAGGAGGGAAGGTTTTCTGTGGACTCCTAGGAAGAGAGGTTGTGAGTTTAGAAGGTGTCTCTCTTTATCATCCCATCCATGGCACCTAGAATGAGTGAGGCTTCCCCTTGCTGGTGTCTGTCTCTCTCCTTCCTCTCTGTGTCTTCATGTTCTTTTCTGTGCCCATAACTCCTGGTGCAGGTCCTTCCATCTGTCTCCCTCCCTCTTCTCTGTCTCTCTGTCTCTAGTCGCCTCTGATTCCCTTCCCACTGGGCTTAGCCTCATCTCTTGGGGTGTTGTATCTATTTCACACTAATGTCTTTCCTGCTGTTTATGTGGGGGTGAAAGAGGAACCAGGATAGGCTGCACATCCAGCCTCTTATCAGCCTGGTTCAATCTCTTTTGGATGAATTGGAATCCTTGGCAGGAGGTATGAACTGATGAATAAGGCAGGCAGCAGTGTCCACACACCCTGTTCCTGGTCGGGACTGGGAGCCACTCTTGCCATGCCTGTGCCTTCTCCATGGTGCCAGCTTCCATAGGCTGGCTCCTGGTGCTGGTTTGAGGAGTATCAACCCCTCCCTATGTGGATGGAGCCTGGTGGTGGCATCATCATCCCACACTTGCTGATCTAGGTGTAGCCAACCTTCCCCTTGTTTGGTTCCTTTAATTAATTAATTAATTATGGAGATCAGAGTCTCACTCCTTCACCCCAGCTGGAGTGAAGTGGTGTGGTCTAGGGTCACTGCAACTTCTGTCTCCTGGGTTCAAGTGATTCTCCTGCCCTCAGCCTCCCAAGTCGCTAGGATTACATGCGCCTGCCACCACACCCGGCTATCCTTGTGTTGTTTCTTAACTTGTCCTTGACCTGGGTTCCAGTGTTGGTTTCCTGTTGCTGCTGTAGAAAATTATCAGCAGCATGGCAGCAGGAGAGAGCACACTGACCCATTTCACTACTGGAGACAGAAATAGGACCCTGTTTTTCCTGGGCTAAAATCAAGGCATCTGCAGGGCTTCGTTCCCTCTGGAGACTCTGGAGAATCATTTCCTTGACTTTTCCAGCCTCTACAGGCCACCTGCATTCATGGCTCCTGGACTTCCTCCACCTTCAAAGCTGGTGGAGTCTCCCATTGCGCTGCTCTAATCCCCACTCCCCTCTTCCTCCTCCTTTCATGTGGACCCTTGTGATTACACTGAGCCCAGCGGGACAGTCCAGGCTGTCTCCCCATCTCAAGGTCAACTCATCAACAACCTGAGCTCCATCTTCCCCTTCAGTTCCTTCCCCTATAACATAAATAGTCACAGACTCCAGGGATTAGAATGTAGTCATCACTGGGGACAATTATTCTTCCCACCACAGCACCCATTTCCCTGTATTCAATCCCCCTTTACCCCAAATATAGTCAGGGCCTGGGTGATGGGACCCTCAAGGACACGCCCACCAGAAGCTCTGGGATTCAGGAGGTGGGAAAGGAGAATCCAAGACAGGAGCCCTCTGACCTGTGGCCATGATCACCAGGGGGTTGCTGGGTGCCGACCACCCACTGGGGGAGTGTGGGTGTGAACCCCGACATCTGTACGTCCCTGTGTGTGCTGGGGTCACAGGGCCCATGAAAAGGCTCTTCCAGAATATTCTGTTGTAGAGCTCAGTGCCAGGCACCCCATCTTCCTTTTACAGACTGAAGTTGTTAAACCCAAGATAAGAATGACACCGAAGAATCACATGTCCTGGAGGCACCACAGAGCTGGGCCAGGCAGACAGCAAGGGCTTGTCCTGACCACCTTGGGGAGAAGGAGGCACCGCCTTAGAGAGGAGGATGTGGAGCCACCCCTCCCTCCCTGTGCTCTGAAGATTCTCCTCGCTTTCCAAGTTTCTATGGCTGCTATCACACCTTGGTGCCCAGGGCTAAAGGAAGGACCCATCCCGCAAACACAAGGTGTCTCCCTACAACAAAAGTGTCAGCTGAGAACTTTGAGCAAGTGCTGAGTAAGAGACTCCTACTAGATTTTAATACTGTAAGATTACTCACATAAAACAACACAGGGTAGACATGGGGTGGAGGGCATGTCCTTTGAGAATGGAATATCAGCCGATGCCTGAATGAAAATAAGCAACTGAGCCCCCATCAGAGGATTTGGAATGTCAGGGCCATGGCTGTGGTTTCCCACCTCTTCTGGTGGAGTGACAGCAGCCACACTGCAGCCCCTACCGTCATGGAAACGCTGAAGTGTGAGTAACACCTTTGTCCTCAGAGGATCTGCTGTTCCTACCACTTCCCCACCACACACCCCAGCTTTGAGCACCCCAGTCTAACCCTGGTCCCCACAGAACTTGACTCTGCCAAGGGAATGAAAGGCCAGGGAGGCGAGGTCGGAACTGTGGGCCGAGCACCCCAGGGTCCCCTCTTCCTAGTTTATGAGAGGCTCCCCGACAGGACTTCCCTCCTGTTTCAGGAAAATCCTCTTATGTGGGGAGATGACACCCGAAGGTTTGGAGAAGGACTCACCCTCATGTGGCCAGGCCCCCTGCAGCAAGAAGAACCCTGGAAAGAAAGATCATGATGGACCATCCATCTGCAGGCGAACCAGCCCTCCCTTGCTGCCCTCACTGGGCTGTGAGTCTTGGTAGGCAGGCCCTTCCTGGGCTGAAGTTAAACTCACCCTCAGTGCCTACCTGCACCCAAGAACAGGGCTGTCGGCTGTGCAGAGACCCAGCCTCCAAGCCCAGATCCCCACCACAAGCCCATATCCCCACCAGAAGCCCATATCTCCACTCCAGGCCAATATTTCCACCCTAGGCCTGTATCTCCACTCCAGGCCCATATCTCCACTCCAGGCCGATATTTCCATCATAGGCCCATATCGCCAATCCAGGCCCATATCGCCAATCCAGGCCAAGATCTTCACTGTAAGCCCATATCTCCAATCCAGGCCCATATCTCCACTCCAGGCTCAGATCTCCACCCTAGGCCCATATCTCCAATCCAGGCCCATATCTCCACACCAGGCCCATATCTCTACTGAAGGCCAGTAACTCCACCTCCAGGCCCATATCTCCACTCCAGGCCCAGATCTCCACCCCAAGCCCATATCTCCACCCCAGGCCCATATCTCTACTGAAGGCCCGTAACTCCACCTCCAGGCCCATATCTCCACCCCAGGCCCAGATCTCCACCCCAAGCCCATATCTCCACTCTAGGCCCATATCTCCTCTCCAGTCCCATATCTCCACAACCAGGCCCATATCTCCATCCTAGGCCCATATTTCCACTCTAGGCCCAGATATCCACCTCTAGGCCCATATCTCCACTCCTGGCCCAAATCTCCACTCCAGGCCCATATCTCTACTATAGGCCTATAACTCCACCTCCAGGCCCATATCTCCACTCCAGGCTCCTATCTCCCCTCCAGGTTCCTATCGGCACTCCAGGCCCAGATCTCCACTTCTAGGCCCATCACTCCATCTCTAGGCCCATATATCCACTCCAGGCCCAGATCTCCACTCCAGGCCCACAACTCCACCTCCAGGCCTATATCTCCACCTCTGGGCCCAGATCTCCAACCCCACACTCCCTTCCTCTATTCCCTTCCAGGACTCACCAACACACGCCATGCTGACGACCGTGAGCGACATGGTGCTGCCGGTGCAGACAGGCGGCCGCGCCCCAGCTCAGCTCAGCAGCGCACAGGATGTTATTTGGCGCCCTGCCCATGCAGTTTACATGTTGACCACATCATGGGAGGGTGACGTACGCAGGCTCATTCTACCTTGCATGAGGCCCAGTGGGTGCTCGCTCAAGAGCGGAACACGGCTTCCTGGAAATTGTTCTCACTAGAATTTACACCTAGCGTCCTTCACTATGACCAACTCAAAACACGTCTCAGATCCAACCTCCTGAACACGAGATGCCTAAAATCTGTGCTAACGTGAAAGACTTTTCATGTATTTTTATTGTTTTTATCTGAGATTCAAACTCTTCTTCATGTGTAATATGCAAAATATCTAATAGGTATTATTAAGGTTTTCAGAGTCATTGTGACTAATAAACCATTAGAATTTTTCATGCTTGTATTTCTAGTATTACAGCAGAACCAGTTAAAATGATTTAAATTCCCAGGGAAGGATTATGCAATTATTTACAATCTTTGAATTGTACGTTATCAGCAAAAACCACACATTTAAACTCTGGATTTTTGTAGATTTATCTAAAATTTGTCTCATGACCCAAGTTTCCAGAGTCCCAACTCTGGAGTTTGTTCTCTCTCTGTCTCTCTGCCTCCCTCATTTTAAATTTTACAGAAATATCCAGTAACATAATGCTATAGAAAATCAAGTTTCCCCCAGCACGTCGGGAAGCCGAGGTGGGCGGATCAACTGATATAAGGAGTTTGAGAGCAGCCTGGCAACACAGTGAAACCGTGTCTCTGCTAAAAATCCAAAAATTAGCCGTGCCCAGTGGCAGGAACTTGTAACGCCAGCTACCCAAGAGGCTGAGGCACGAGAATCGCTTGAACCTGGGAGGCGGAGGTTGCAGTGAGCTGAGATTGCACCACTGCAGTCCAGCCTGGGCGACAGAGCAAGACTCCGCCTCAAGAAAATAAAAATAGCAAATAGCCTATAATAACAAATTAGAGGCCTCTGGCTACTAAATTTAAAGGGTTCTATGGGGCTACATAAAGTGGAGCATCCTCAAGAATGTGGACACAGAGAGCCGTTTAGCAGAGACAGTGTCTAAAATACACATCCGTGTACACACAGTCCCTTTTTAGTTGACAAAGCTGCCGTGTGGTTTAAGGTGGCATAGAATGTCTTCTCAATAAATAATATTAAACCAAAGGGTTACACATAGGAAATAATAAATCTAAACTTATTCTCACACTATAAAAACACTTCTTAGTTTTTATCTAGTTATTGTACATTTTTTATGATTTATATTTAAATTTGAGAAATAAAAGTCCTATACCGTCATCCTTCACTATTCATGGGTGATTGGTTTCGAGATCTCCACTCAGATACTAAAATCTGCAGATGCTCAAGCCTCTTACGTAAAATGACACAGCATTTGGATATAACCCATGCACATCCTCCTGTATACATGAAATCATCTCTTGATTACTTATAATTCCTGATACAGCCTATACACCACCTCATTTGTGTGCATTCAACACAGTTTTGCTTTTTGGAACTTTGTGGGCTTTTTCTCTGAATATTTTTGATTTATACTTGGTTCAATAAACACCTGTAAACCCCACAGATACGGAGGAGCGACTGTATATTTATAGTATGAAAGATGATGCGTTGACATGTGTCCCCGTGGAGATGAGACTAACAAGGCCTATGACTCTACAAATGTTTCATCATGGAATGACTCTGCCAGCTTTCCAGGTCTGCAGAGAGTAAGAATATCACTTGTTCATGTGATTCACGATCCTTGGAACTTCCTATGTGCTGCATCTTTGGATGGAAATTGGAGTCTCAGAGACAAGTCAGGGTCCACCCTGTTCCAGAAGCTCAGAGTCCAGGGGTGAGAACCCAGTGGAGAACAGATGGGGTTATGTGGACATGGTAATGATAACACCGGAAGCCTTAGGAAAGAAAAGAGTCCCATTACCGAAACGATGAGGGCAGACATGTTTATTTGAAGGAGGGAAAACTACATTGAAATTACTAAAAACAATTTATAAGTTTTACTGCTGACAGAAGGCTGAAAGATAGTCTGAGGGGAGGTGGAACTGCATGAGGGAAGGTGGAACAGCACGTGTCTAAGTGCCGTGTTAAGAGGGAGCCTCTTGTATGTTTGGAATTGTGAGTTCCTCAGTGTGATTGCAGCCTCAAGTAGACTAGGAAGTAAGCCAGTTAGGTTGGAGAGGTGGGCAGGGGTCAAGTGAAATGGAGAATTGTGGGCTAAGCAAAGGAGTGTGTTTTCTCTGCAGCAGGCAGTGGGGACCTTAGACATTTGTAAGCAAGAGAGAGGCATGTTCAGATTCGTGGTGTGAGGAAGAGCGATGCCCTAAGATGAAGACTGATGCCTTCAGATTCCAGCTGCTGGTACATGGGAGCTGGCAACCCGGTTTTGAGACAGGGCTGTTGTCTCCCTAGAAGATCCCCTCAAGGCCTGACTGTGGTGCTCGTGGACAGAAGACAGCTTTGGATCTGGACTCAGCATTTGGAAGTTCTATGTACATGCTGCTATCTGTTGGGGGTGTCTTGGGCCTCTGAGAAGGGGGAGTGATTTTTCTCTGTGTGAAAACACAGTGATCCAATTATGCGTATGACACCTCCTGATGGTCCTGTTCATCAGAATCCTGGAGAGAGGGAAATGCTGAGTGAGGGAGGGTGCTCACATTTTTCAGGACTCTTTGGGAATAAGACTAGCCACGAGGCTGGGCCGAGGAGCACCTACCTCCCTGTTCACTGTTCTGTTCCCCGCAGGCCCTTGGTCCATTACAGATGCATCTGTAGAAGATGGAAGTCAACAAAACAGCTCGGAGGGCACTTCTGGGTCCTCATTTCATAAGCAGATACCAACAAACAGGGGGAGGCCATAGGTGCCTGAGGTCCCTCAGTTGCCAACAGCAGACTCAGACATTCTATCTCTCTGAGCTCAAGGACCCATCCCATGAATAGCTCTGAGTTCCCATCCCATTGATTCTATCTCCCACTTTCTGCCTGTCATGGAACCTTCTCCTGGATGTGAGTGGCTGCAGGGGACGTGAGGGTACAGTTCAGAATCAGGCAATGGTCTGTGAGCTGAAGGCAGGGGCAGGGAGTCTGGTGCTCTCTCTAGAAAGTCCTGCCTCTGTGGCTCCTGTCTTGGGCCAGGGACCATCCTGCCTGTGAGGAACACACACCCACGTGCTAACATCCTGCTTCCCCACATGGCCCTGAGCTCTCTGGCCTCTGCTTCGTGAGACTTACTTTTTTTGTCGGAGCACCAGCGATGAAGGAGAAAGAAGAGGAGGATGGTGAAAGGGAGTTTGACCACTGAGGTCCCAATCAGAACGTGTAGGTGTCTGGGGTTACCTGGAAGAAGAGGAGACACCAATAAGAAGCTAATCATAGCAGTTCCTCTTTATGAATTGTCTCGCATTTCTTGATTGACAGGTAACCACATACAACGTCTCTTTAGGACAAGCACCCAAATGGTGGGAGACCTAGCTTTCCCCTGCTTTCTCAGTTATAGCTCTCATAGTAACCATAGAACGTGCTGAGGATACAACTACTTTAGTTGAGATGTCTGACCCCTTCAAACCTCACATGGAAATTTCACCCCCAGTGTGGGAGGTTGGGCCTCTTGGGAGGTGTTTGGGTCATGGAGGTGGATCCATCATGAACAGAACAATGCTGTCCCAAGGAGACGGGGTTAGCAAGTTCCCCCTCTATTAGTTCCTGGAGAGCTGGTTGTTCAAAAGAGCTTGGAAGCTCCATCGCTCCCCCTCCCCCTTACTCTCTCTCTTGCCGTGTGATCTCTGCGGTCTCTGCACAGACAGACCCTCCTTCCCTTCTGCCAGAGTGGGAGCAGCCTGAGGCCGTCACAAGAAATAGATTCTGGTACCATGCTTCCAGTACAGCCTGCAGAACGGTGAGGCAAACCGATCTCTTTTCTTTAGAAGTTACCGAGGCTCAAGTTTTCCTTTAGAGCAACAAAAAAAAACTACGACAGCAACGTACTGAGATCAGGAGGAATGTCTCAGAACAGCCTGGGCTGTCTTCCTGTTCTTCCTGGAGGAAGGCGTCATGCAGTGCTTTAGCTGAGTGCTTCCTGTGGCTCCAGGGTACAAAACCCAGGCTGGGCTGCTTTCTGGCTTCCCCCAGCTACACTGCAAATGGGGTGACTCCATATGTCCCGAGCAGCTTTTCTGAGCCTTGAGGGACTGGCTCACATTGAAATGTAGGCTTCTGTTGTCACTCGCTGCTTATCTGTTAGTAATGAACCTGCCTGTGTAATGTATTCTCTGTGTGTTCTGTCTCCCTGGAGTGACGGTGAGTGATAGGAATTGGCATAGGCCCAGGTGCAGTCCAGGAGGTGTTTAGAGTCTTCTCTGGGAAGACTGCACTGGGATTGATACACAGCGAATGTGCTTTAGGATTTCTACATCCAGGGCATTCTTGAGTCAAACAACTTGCATTCTCCAAGAAAAGGAAACAAAAGTGAAATCAAGATAAAAAAAGCGAAGTAGAATTCTCTTATGTCAAATGGCCAGGAAACAGTGTTGAAGCCCATGTGAAACGTGCTACTCTTTGTGATCTCCGGAGACACATGTTAGGCTGCTGTTCTACCCCAGAGGCTGGGGGAAGGACCACCCCCTCGGCCATCTATTGCTTCAATACCACCTGTCCTCCTGTGAATTAGTAGGAAAGGGGAGCAGGAGCTAGTGCTGACGCTGATCTCTGATTCCAAGATCTGGACTCACTCCAAGGAGTATTAGAATTTACCTCCCCATGGTCTATCTGAATCTCCACAGATGATTGGAAGTAGGGGTGAGGTGGGGGATTTGGGTGAGAGGGCATGTTTTTTTTGTGATGAACAGAGCACTTTGTGTATTCCAGGATCTGTGCTGGAGGATTCAGCGGGCTTTCACATTTTCTATATGATCTCATGCTCACAGAAAGCCAAATAGGGAAGAGGTTTTAGGCTCATTGCCTAATGGATAAGATAAAAGATCAAAGAAGTAATTATAGAGAAATAGAAAAATCATGATTGGAATTCAGGTCCCTTTGTCATTTGCGTGTGTTATATTATATTTATATTTATGCATTTCTTATTTTTATTTTTTGAGACGGAGTCTCCTTGTGTCACCCAGGCTGGAGTGCAGTGATGCAATCTCCACTCACTGCAACCTCCACCTCCTGGGTTGAAGTCATTCTCCTGCTTCATCCTCCAGAGTAGGAGCTGGGATTACAGGGATGCACCACCATGCTCGGCTAATTTTTGTGTTTTTCCTAGAGACAGGGTTTCACCAGGTTGGCCAGGCTGGTCTCGAACTGCTGACTTCATGTGATCCACCCTCCTTGGCCTCCTGCAGTGCTGGGTTACAGGCGTGAGCCACCGTTCACAGACTTGTATATTATGCTATAATAGGTCCCTTCATTTCCACCACCACTCATATATCTGTCACTCCTTTGCCAGGTATTGATTTATGTGTAGTAGGAATAAAGCTCAGAAAGAAATTAAGCGAGGATTAGACAACTAGGAAAATCATACCCAGCAAGCCTTTCCAGCCAATGATTCCACCTCACAAGCATAGCTTATATCCATCTGCTTCACCCAGTTAGGGTCTAAATCAGCACCACATTTCACCAGTGAGGCGGGAATTGCCTTTTCCACAGTCTCCTAGATTCTAGTTACGCACCTGGGCCTCCCTTATTTTCATGTCAGTCATATTAATCATGTAGGGATTCCTGGTTACCCCGAGGTGAATCCAATGGCTGTGAGTGTCAAACACACACTCCTTGTTGCTCCTTAGTTTCCTGTGTACCCAGTGTGCTCTCCGTCTCTCCACAGTCGTCTTGTCATTCTCCCCACGTCATTCCCAGCATTTGAGGAAGAGCCTCTTCCTTCAACATCAGATTATTTTCACCTTTGTGCGTTCACGGCTGACAGCTGTGTGTGGAAAATCCTTCCACCAATCTTTCAGGGGTTCAATCCGTGTTTTTCATTAATGTCACAAATATCTGATTAGTGAGATCTTCTCTGTCACCCAAAATCATACACTCAGCATTATGTATTATTTATTTTAAATTCTGGCTGGGCACAGTGGCTCACGCCAGTTATCCCAGTACTTTAGGATGCTGAGACGGTCGGATCACTTGAGGTTGGGAGTTTCAGAGAAGCTTGGCGAAGATGGTGAAACATCCTCTACAAAAAATATACAAAAAGAATTAGCCGGGCATGGTGGCAGTTGCCTGTAATCCCAGCTACTTGAGAGGCTGACGCAGGAGAATCACTTGGATCCAGAAGGTGCAGGTTGCAGTGAGCCAAGATGGTGACACTGCACTGTAGCCTGGAAGACAGAGGGCGACTCTGTCTCAATAAACAAATGAAGAAACAAACAAATAGATTTCATACACAGATGCTTCCCAATGGATCATTCATTTATTGGTCCACTTGTGCATTCATTTTCTGCCCTCCCATTTAACCATCTGCAATATCAGTGTCCCAAGAGCAGAGGCCAAATGCATCTTGTTCACTGTTTGTGGAAGGTAGGAGAATGCTGTCCCACCCCAAAATGTCCCTGTCCTAGCCTCCATAGCTTGTGAATATCTTATTTTACATGGAAAGGAGGAATGAAGATTGCAGATGGAATTATGGTTGCTAATCAGCTGAACTTAAAACAAGGGTATCCTGAATGATTTCCGGGAGATTATGATGGATTTTCATCTTGGTGAACCCAATAGAATCCCCAAGTTTTCAAAAGATGAGGAAGAAGGGAGAGCAGCATTCAGAGAAAGAGGTGTGGTAAGGAAGAAGGGTCTGAGTGATGCCATGTGAGATGTGACCAGCCTTTGTGGGCTTTGAGGAAGGAGGAAGGGGACCAGGAGCGAAGGAATGTGGGAGCCTCTAGAAGCTGAGAAAAGTGAGAAGCAGATTCTTGCCTGGAATCCTCAGAGGGAAGGCAGCCTTGCTGTCACCTTGATTTTAGCCCAGTGAGATGCACTTCATACTTTGAGCTACAGCACTGCAAGATAATTAAAAAACCGTTTTGTTTTCACCCACGAATCTTGTGGAAATTTGTTATGGCAACAATAGGAAAAGCTTCCACACTGCACAGCCTGAGCATGGGGCCGTGGCTGAATGAGTCAGTGAGTCGAAGTGTGCGTGCATGAGCTCTGTTCTCTGTTACAGCAAGGCTCTTTCTCTGCTGAGTCAGCCAGGGTTGCTTCATGACCTATAGGAGCTCATTCCTTGGCAAGTGGAACTTCTCTAAAACACCTCGCCCTCATCAGATGTTCCCTTCCCTTCCCTCTCTCAAGTCTCCAGGAATTTATCCTCCAGTTAGGAATGCAGGCAGAACAAACATTGCATTTTTCCTGAGAAGGATGTCAGATTGGCAATCATTCTTCTAGCTTGTAGGAGGTCTCAGCTCCATAAAATGAGAGATGAAGAGATTTCACTGAGCCCTGTGTTGGGCCCAGATCCCTTTCGCTGTAGGAGTATCTGGAGTTCGGAGATGGTGGAAGACAGGGGTACAATGTCAGAGCTGTGAGATGCTGAGTCAACGCCTGAATCCAAGGTTTCCACCTCCCCAGGTTTCCAAAAGCGGATATAAGAGGGTTCTGTACTCACCGGTTTTGGAGCTTGGTTCAGTGGGTGAAGGCCAACTATTTGAAGGGTTTCCTAGAATATGAGACAGGAGAGAGGTGAGGAAATGAGGGTGTCTGTCCTCTACTCAGTGGAAATCTTTGAGGATGGTTCATGGCCAACACTCTGTTATCTAATATTGGGCCCTGGGAGTCCTGGGATCCTTTTTTCCATAATTTTTGTATGTGACGCCCACTGTCTTGAGACTTCAAGGTATAAAGAGAAAACAGGAGCATCACACTACCTGATCTCAAAATATGTTACAGAGCTGTAGTAAGCAAAACAGCATGACATTGGCATAAAGAAAGGCACATAGAACAATGGAGCAGAATGAATAACACAGATATATTCCATGCATTTACATCCAATGGTTTTTTATTTTTTCTTTTGAGATGGAGTCTTGCTCTGTCACTCAGGCTGGAGTGCAGAGGTGCAATCTCAGTTCACTGCAACCTCAGCCTCCTGGGTTCAATCATTCTCTTGCCTCAAACTCCTGAGTAGTGGTATTACAGGTGCTGACCACCATGCTCAGCTAATTTTTATATTTTTAGTGGAGACGATGTTTCATCACGTCGGCCAGACTGATCTTGAACTCCTGGCCTCAGGTAATCCACCCGCCTCGGCCTCCCAAAGTGCTGGAATTGCAGGTGTGAGCCACCAAGCCCAGCCCATCCAATGGACTTTGACAAAGGTGCCAAGAACTCACAATCAGGAAAGGACAGTCTTTTCAATAAACAGTGCAGGGAAACCTGGACATCTACATGCAGAGGAATGAAACTGCACCTCTACCTGTCACCATACACAAAAATCAAATGAAAATGGATTAAAGATGTGAGTCTAAGGCCTGAACCTATGAAACACGTAGAAGAAATATTGGGGAAATGCTCCAGGACGTTTGTCTGAAGGAAGACATTTTGTTTTAAACCTTGAAAACACAAGTAATCGAAGCAAAAATAGACCATTGGGATTACCTCAAACTAAGCAACTTCTGCACTGCTAAAAATAAACCAACAAAGTGAAGAGACAACCCACAGATTGGGAGCAAATATGTGCAAACTATGCATCTGAGATGGGATTAATAACTAGAAATATAAGAAGCTCAAACAACTCAATAAAACAAATGATTTAATTGAAAAAGGAGCAAAAGACATGAAATTTCCCCACATATGAAAAAGTGCTCAGTATCACTCATCATCAGAGAAATGCAAATTAAAATCAAAGTGAGTTTTCATCTCACCCCATTAAAATGGCTTTTAGGCCGGGTGAGGTGGCTCACGTCTGTCATCCTAGAACTTTGAGAGCCTGAGGTGGGTGAATCTCATAAGGTCGGGAGTTTGAGACCAGTATGACCCACATAGAGAAACGCTGTCTCTACTAAAAATACAAAAATTAGTCGGGCGTGGTGGCGTGTGCCTGTAATTCCAGCTACTCGGGAGGCTGAGGCAGGAGAATCGCTTGAACCTGGGAGGTGGAGGTTGTGGTGAGCCGAGATAGCGCCACTGCACTCCAGCCTGGGTGAGAAGAGCAAAACTCCATCTCAAAATAAAATGAAATAAATAAAATGGCTTTTAGCTGCAAGACAGGCAAAAGAAATGCTGGCAAAGTGCTAGAGAAAGGAGAACCCTGGTACCCTGTTGGGAGGAGTGTAAATTAGTACAGCGATTACGGAGAAAAGTATGGAAGTCCTTTAAAGAACTAAAAAGAGGTTGGGTGTGGTGGATCAGGCCTGTAATCCCGGCACTTTGGGAGACTGAGGCGGGCACCTCAGTTGAGGTCATGAGTTTGAGAGCAGCCCAGCCAACATGGGGAAACCGCATCTATACTAAAAAAACCAAAAAGTAGCCAGGCATGGTGGCGTGCACCTGTAATCCCAGCTACTAGGGAGGCTGAGGCAGGAAAATCATTGGAACCCAGGAGGCGGAGGTTGCAATGAGCCAAGGTCGCACCACTTTGACTCCAGCTTGGGCTAAGGAGGGAAACTCTTTCTCAAAAAAGAAAAAAAAAAAAAAGAGAACTTTCATAGTATCCAGCAATTTCACTACTGGGTTTATATCCAAAGGAAAGTAAATCAATATATCGAAGTGATATCTGCACTCGTATGATTGGTGCAGCACTGTTCACAGTAGCCAAGATGAGGAGTCAACCTACCTGCCCATCAGTGGGTGAATGGATAGAGAGAATGTAGTACATACGCACAGTGGAGACTACTCATCCATAGAAAGAATAACATCCTGTCATTTGCAGCCACATGGATGGAACTGGAGGTCATTACAAAGATTCCCATTTCTCACCCATATACAGGAGCTAAAAGGTGGATCTCATGAAGGTAGAGAGTAGAATGGTGGCTACTGGAGGGCAGGAAGAAAAGGGTGGAGGGTAAAAAAAATGTATATATATATATATATATAAATGTATTTATGACCACTAGACTTTACACTTAAAAATGGTAAATGTGGCTGGGCGTGGTGGCTCATGCCTGTAATCCCAGCACTTTGGGAGGCAGATGCGGGTGGATCACGTGGTCAGGAGTTGCAGACCAGCTCGACCAACATGGTGAAACCACCTCTCTACTAAAAATACAAAAAGTAGCCTGGCGTGGTGGTGCGCACCTGTAGCACCAGCTACTCAGGTGGCTGAGGCAGGAGAATCGCTTGAACCCAGGAGGCGGAAGTTGCAGTGAGCTGAGATTGTGCCACTGCACTCCAGCATAGGGGACAGAGCTAGACTCTGCCTCAAAAAAAAAAAAATGTTAAAGGTGGTAAGCTATATAGGTATATTTATCCTCAATAAATATTTCTTCAAACAAAAGTAAAGGGTGTAGGGGTTGCTGGTGATGACATCTCTGTGTGGGTGAGAGGCCAGGATGGGCTTCTGGGAAATGGGTAAGGTTGAGGGGCTGAGGGAACCTCTGATCTCCCCAAACTGAGCCCAGTCTCCCTCCTCTGGGTCTCTCCTGACCGCTTTCTCCATCTGCCTGGGTGCCTGGAGCCCTGGCTGCGGGCCTCCATGCAGGCCATGTAGGAGGGTTTGGAGGTGCCCTGTCGGCCATCCTGTGCCCTGATCCCTCCCTCACACCGAGGATGCATCTTCTCTCTGCATCTGTCCATGCTTCTCTCCATCCTCAGCAGGAAGCTCCTCAGCTAAGGCTCTAGGATCATAGGACATGGGACAGCCATGGGCTTTCCTCACCTGTGACAGAAACAAGCAGTGGGTCACTTGACTTTGACCACTCGTAGGGAGAGTCATGGAAAGAGCCGAAGCATCTGTAGGTTCCTCCTTGGGTGGCAGGGCCCAGAGGAAAGTCGGCCTGGAATGTTCCGTTGACCTTGGGCCCTGCAGAGAACCTACGTTCATGGGCCTCCCCCTCCGTGGATAGATGGTACATGTCATAGGAGCTCCAGGAGCTGCAGGACAAGGTCACGCTCTCTCCTGCCAGAACCGTGGGGCCCGGCTGGGCTGAGAGAGAAGGTTTCTCATATAGACCTGGAAGGAGAAGAGGCATTTTCCTTATGGAGGATCTTCCTTGTCACAGCTCCCTTCACCTGAGCTGAGAACTCACTCCCCTGCTCTATGACCTAATGCTCTCTCTCTCTCTCTCTCACCCTCCACCCCATCTCTCTTCATGTCTATTTCCTCCTTCCACCTTCTCTGTCTCTCTAGGTCTCTGACCTCGCTTCCCCACCTCTAGATATGTTTTCCGTTTTTGGATTGTTTTATTCTCTCTGACTCTCCTTGGATTGGTTGACTTGATGTTACTTTTTTAAATTCTAAGTTTCTCACTTTGTGTCCTGTTCATAACTTTCTGCATATTTCTATCTATTATCTGTTGATCTATCTATTTATCTATTCGGTGCCTATCTACAAATTCTCTACTTGTCATCTATATCTATATATCATCTATGTATCTATCACTTGTCTATCTATCCATCAATCATCTGTTATCTATATCTATGTATCATCTCTCTCTCTATGACTTCTGTCTGCCTCTCTATCTCTATGTATTATCTATCTGTCTTCATCATCATCTCTACGTCTCATCTATTAATGAATCAATCAATCATCATCTATGTATCTATAACCTAGTATCTATCATCTACCTATTTATCATCTATCTATATCTATCCATCTATCATCTGTCTTGCTCTGCCTCTCGGTCTCTCTAGTTCTCTTTGGAATCTCTGCAATTCATCCCCACATCTCCATCTTTCTATGTCCTTGTGCCTCTCCCTCAGGACTCTAATTTTAGTGCTTTTCTCTGCTCCCTTCCATCATTCTCACCACTCCTCTGCCCTCTTTTCTCTCTCTTTATGTGTCTGTGAGTCTCTCAATCTCCTTCCTCTGGCCCATTCTCTGTGTGTTTATGTCTTTGCTTTTTGGTGTTCCTGATTTTTCTCTGTGCCTCTCAGTGATCCTTTCATATGTGGGGTTATTTGGAATGTGAGCCTCAGAATCCAGTCTGGAGACTACAAGTTCACACAGCATACAGGGGTTGGTGTTCTGGGGCCATGATATCCTGGGACGATTACTCTCCATTACTTGGAAGGCAGAGGTGTCAGAATAAACACGGCATCTGTAGGTGCCAGAAGGCCTGAGGCCACAGGGCCCAACTCAGGTCAGAAATATGGGTGTCCTTGGGTTCTCCTGGTAGAGAACACTTTGTGGAGGTAAAACAGAAATGAAACTTGTAATCTGTGCCAGGTCTCTGAGCAAAGTCAGCATGGAGGGACACCTCTCTCTGGGACATGTCTGTCTGTCTGTCTCCTTTAACTCCTTCTGTCTTTTCTAACTCTCGGAATGGCCCCTGTGTCTGTCCTCTGTTATGACACCTGGTCTGTACTTGTGTCTCCTGTTTCTCTGTCTCTGTTGGTACAGACCTCACCAAGTCAGTCTCTCTCCATAAGAATACCAAGCTCATCTTCCTTACAACCACCTGGGCCTCCAAGTCCTGGATCATTCACTCTGTGTCCGAATGACAATGAGAAGAATGTCTGGACACTCTCACCTGTGATCACGATGTCCAGAGGGTCACTGGGAGCTGAAAACTGATAGGGGGAGTGAGGAACAGAACCGTAGCATCTGTAGGTCCCTGCCAGGTCTTGCCTCATGCGACCGATGGAGAAGTTGGCCTTGGAGACCCCATCAATGTGCTCTCCAATGAGGCGCAAAGTGTCGTTAAACGTCCCCTCTCTGTGCAGAAGGAAGTGCTCAAACATGACATCTGACCAACATTGCAGGATGACTGTCTCTTCTGATTTCACCAGGCGACCTGGGTGGGCCAGGAGGGAAGGTTTTCTGCGGAATCCTAGGAAGAGAGTTTGTGAATTTAGAAGGTGTCTCTCTTTATCATCCCATCCATGGCACCTGGATTGAGTGAGGCTTCCCCTCCCTGGTGTCTGTCTCTCTCCTTCCTCTCTGTGTCTTCATGTTCTTTTCTGTGCCCATAACTCCTGGTACAGGTCCTTCCATCTGTCTCCCTCCCTCTTCTCTGTCCCTCTGTCTCTAGTAACCTCTG
This sequence comes from Homo sapiens, assembly GCF_000001405.40. NCBI lineage: Eukaryota > Metazoa > Chordata > Mammalia > Primates > Hominidae > Homo > Homo sapiens. Next base: position 116,376 of record NT_187640.1, read on the forward strand.
ATTGCCTTGCCGCTGGGCTCAGCCTCATCTCTTCGGCTGTTGTATCTATTTTGAACTAATGTCTTTCCTGCTGTCTATGTGGGGGTGGAAGAGGAACCAGGATAGGCTGCACATCCAGGCTCTTAGCAGCCTGGTTCAATCTCTTTTGGACGAATTGGAATCCTTGGCAGGAGGTATGAACTGAACAGTAAGGCAGGCACCAGTGTCCACACACCCTTTTCCTGGTGGGGACTGGGAGCCACTCTTGCCATGCCTGTACCAGCTTCCATAGCCTGGCTCCTGGTGCTGGTTGGAGGAGTATCAACCGCTCCCTATGTGGATGGAGCCTGGTGGTGGCATCATAATCCCACACTTGCTGATCTTGGTGTAGCCAACCTTCTCCTTGTTTGGTTTCTTTAATTAATTAATTTTGGAGACAGAGTCTCACTCCTTTGCCCAGGCTGGAGTGAAGTGGTGTGGTCTAGGCTCACTGCAACCTCTGTCTCCTGGGTTCAAGTGATTCTCCTGCCCTCAGCCTCCCAAGTCGCTAGGATTACATGCACCTGCCACCACGCCCGGCTATCCTTGTGTCCTTTCTTAACTTTTCCTCGAGCTGGGTTCCGGTGTTGGTTTCCTGTTGCTGCTGTAGAAAATTATCAGCAGCATGGCAGCAGGAGAGAGCACACTGACCCCTTCCATTTTTGGAGGCAGAAGTCGGGCCCTGTTTTTCCTGGGCTAAAATCAAGGCACCTGCAGGGCTTCGTTCCCTCTGGAGACTCAGGAGAATCAGTTCCTTGACTTTTCCAGCCTCTATAGGCCACCTGCATTCATGGCTCCTGGCCTTCCTCCACCTTCAAAGCTGATGGAGACTCCCATTATGCTGCTCTAATCCCCACTCTCCTCTTCCTCCTCCTTTCATGTGGACCCTTGTGACTACACTGAGCCCAGGGGGACAGTCCAGGCCTTCTCCCATCTCAAGGTCAACTCATCAACAACCTGAGCTCCATCTTCCCCTTCAGTCCCTTCCCCTATAACATAAATAGTCACAGACTCCAGGGATTAGAATGTAGTCATCACTGGGGACAATTATTCTTCTCACCACAGTACCCATTTCCCTGTATTCAATCCCCCTTTACCCCAAATACAGTCAGGGCCTGCGTGAAGGGACCCTCAAGGACATGCCTACCGGAAGCTCTGGGATTCAGGAGGTGGGACAAGGAGAATCCCAGACAGGAGCCCTCTGACCTGTGACCATGATCAGCAGGGGGTTGCTGGGTGCCGACCACCCACTGGGGGAGTGTGGGTGTGAACCCCGGCATCTATAGGTCCCTGTGTGTGACGGGGTCACAGGGCCCATGAAAAGGCTTTTCCAGAATATTCTGTTGTAGTGTTCAGGGACAGGCACCCCATCATCCTTGTACAGACTGAAGTTGTTAAACCCAAGATTAGAGTGACACCGAAGAGTCACATGTTCTGGAGGCACCACAAGGCTGGGCCAGGTAGAAAGCAAGGGCTTGTCCTGACCACCTTGGGGAGAAGGAGGCGCCACCTTAGAGAGGAGGATGTGCAGCCGCCCCTCCCTCCCTGTGCTCAGAAGATTCTCCCCACTTTCCACATTTCTATGGCTGCTATCACACCTTGGTGCCTAGGGCTAAAGGAAGGACTCATCCCACAAAGACAAGGTGTCTCCCTACAACAAAAATGTCAGCTGAGAACTTTGAGCAAGTGCTGAGTAAGAGACTCCTACTAGATTTTAATACTGTAAGATTACTCACATAAAACAACACAGGGTAGACATGGGGTGGAGGGCATGTCCTTTGAGAATGGAATATCAGCAGATGCCTGAATGAAAATAAACAACTGAGCCCCCATCAGAGGATTTGGAATGTCAGGGCCATGGCTGTGGTTTCCCACCTCTTCTGGTAGAATGAGAGCAGCCACACTGCAGCCCCTACCATCATGGAAACGCTGAAGTGTGTGAGTAACACCTTTGTCCTCAGAGGATCTGCTGTTCCTACCACTTCCCCACCACACAACCCAGCTTTGAGCACCCTAGTGTAACCCTGGTCCCCACAGAACTTGACTCTGCCAAGGAAATGAAAGGCTGGGGAGGCGAGGTCGGAACTGTGGGCCAAGCACCCCAGGGTCCCCTCTTTCTAGTTTAAGAGAGACTCCCCGACAGGACTTCCCTCCCGTTTCAGGAAAATCCTCTTATGTGGGGAGATGACACCTTAAGGTTTGGAGAAGGACTTACCCTCATGTGGCCAGGCCCCCTGCAGCCAGAAGAACCCTGGAAAGAAAGACCATGATGGACCATCCATCTGCAGGCAAACCAGGCCTCCCTTGCTATCCCCACTAGGCTGTGAGTCTTGGTAGCCAGGCCCTTCCTGGGCCGAAGGGAAACTCACCCTCAGTGCCTACCTGCACCCAAGAACAGGGCTCTCGGCTGTGCAGAGACCCAGCCTCCAGGCCCATATCCCCACCCCAAGCCCATATCTCCACTCCAGGCACATATCTCCACTCCAGGCTGATATTCCCACCCTAGGCCCATATAGCCAATCTGGGCCCACATCTGCAATCCAGGCTCAGATCTCCACCCCAGGCCCATAACTCCAGTCCAGGCCCATATCTCCACTCCAGGCCCATATCTCCTCTCCAGGCCCATATCTCCACTCCAGGCCCATATCTCCACCCCGGGCCCAGATCTCCACCTCCAGGCCCATAACTACATTCCAGGATCATATCTCCACTCCAAGCCCATATCTCCACAACAGGCCCATATCTCCACTCCAGTCCCATATCTCCACCCCACGCCCATATCTCCATTCCAGGCCCATATCTCCACTCCAGGCCCATATCTTCACCACACGCCCATATCTCCACTCCAGGCCCATATCTCCACCCCACGCCCATATCTCCACTCCAGTCCCATATCTCCACTCCACGCCCATATCTCCACTCCAGTCCCATATCTCCACCCCATGCCCATATCTGCACTCCAGTCCCATATCTCCACCCCACACCCATATCTCCACTTCAGTCCCATATCTCCACTCAAGGCCCATATCTCCACCCCACGCCCATATCTCCGCTCCAGGCCCATATCTCCACTCCAGGCCCATATCTCCAACCTCCAGGCCCATATCTCCACTCCAGGCCCATATCTCCATCTCCAGGCTCATATCTCCACTCTAGGCCCATATCTCCACTCCAGGCCCTTATGTCCACCTCCAGGCCCATATCTGCACTCCAGACCCACATCTCCACTCCAGGCCCATATCTGCACTCCAGGCCCCTATCTCCACTCCAGGGCCATATCTCCACTCCAGGCTCATATCTCCACTCCAGGCCCATATCTCCAATCCAGGCCCAGATCTCCACTCCAGGCCCAGATCTCCACCTCCAGGCCCATATCTCCACTCTAGGCCCATATCTCCACTCCAGGCTCATATCTCCACTCCAGGTCCATATCTCCACCTCCAGGCCCATATCTCCACTCCAGGCCCATAACTCCACCTCCAGGCCTATATCTCCACCTCTGGGCCCAGATCTCCATCCCCGCGCTCCCTCCCTCTATTCCCTTCCAGGACTCACCAACACATGCCATGCTGATGACCATGAGCGACATGGTGGTGCCGGAGCAGACAGGCGGCCGCACCCCTAGCTCAGCTCAGCAGCGCACAGGATGTTATTTGGCTCCCTGCCCATGCAGTTTACATGTTGACCACATCATGGGAGGGTGACGTACGCAGGCTCTTTCTACCTTTCATGAGGCCCAGTGGGTGCTCGCTCAAGAGCAGAACACGGCTTCCTGGAAATTGTTCTCACTAGAATTGACACCTCGTGTCCTTCACTATGACCAACTCAAAACACGTCTCAGATCCAACCTCCGGAACACAGGATGCCTAAAATCTGTGCTAACGTGAAAAACTTTTCATGTATTTTTATTGTTTTTATCTGAGATTCAAACTCTTCTTCATGTGTAATATGCAAAATATCTAATAGGTATTATTAATGTTTTCAGAGTCATTGTGACTAATAAACCATTAGAATTTTTCATGCTTGTATTTCTAGTATTACAGCAGAACCAGTTAAAATGATTTAAATTCCCAGGGAAGGATTATGCAATTATTTACAATCTTCGAATTGTACTTTATCAGCAAAAACCACACATGTAAATTCTGGATTTTTATAGTTTTATCTATAATTTGTCTCATGACCCAAGATTCCAGAGTCCCAACTCTGGAGTTTGCTCTCTCTCTGTCTCTGTCCCTCCCTCATTTTAAATTTTACAGAAATATCCAGTAACATAATGCTATAGAAAATCAAGTTTCCCCCAGCATGTTGGGAAGCCGCGGTGGGCGAATCAACTGAGATGAGGAGTTTGAGAGCAGCCTGGCCAACATAGTGAAACCGTGTCTCTGCTAAACATTCAAAAATTAGCCGTGCCTGGTGGCAGACACCTGTAATGCCAGCTACTCAAGAGGCTGAGGCACGAGAATCGCTTGAACCTGGGAGGCGGAGTTTGCAGTGAGCTGAGATTGCACTACTACAGTCCAGCCTGGGTGACAGAGCAAGATTCCGCCTTAAGAAAAAAAAAATAGCAAGTAGCCTATAATAACAAATTAGAGGGCTCTGGCTACTAAATTTAAAGGGTTCTATAAGGCTACATGAAGTGCAGCATCCTCAAGAGTGTGGACACAGAGAGCCCCTTAGCAGAAACAGTGTCTAAAATACATCCGTGTACACACAGTCCCTTTAGAGTTGACAAAGGCTGCCCTGTGGTTTAAGGTGGCATAGAATGTCTTCTCAATAAATAATATTAAACCAAAGGGTTACACGTAGGAAAAAATAAATCTAAACTTATTCTCACACTATAAAAACACTTCTTGTTTTTATCTAGTTTATAATTTTTTTATGATTTATATTTAAAATTGAGAAATAACAGTTTTATACGGTCATCCTTCACTATTCCTGGGTGATTGGTTTCAGGATCTCCACTCAGATACCAAAATCTGCAGATGCTCAAGCCTCTTACATGAAATGGCACAGCATTTGCATATAACCCATGCACATCCTCCTGTGTACATGAAATCATCTCTAGATTACTTATAATTCCTGATATGGCCTACACACTGCTTCATTTGTGTCCCTTCAACATAGTTTTGCTTTTTGAAAGTTTGTGGATTTTCTTCTCTGAATATTTTTTATTTATAGTTGGTTCAATAAACACCTGTAAACCCCACAGATACGGAGGAGCGACTGTATATATATATATAGCATGAAAGATGATGTGTTGATATGTGTCCCCATGGAGATGAGACTAACAAGGCCTATGACTCTACAAATGTTTCATCGTGGAATGACTCTGCCAGCTTTCCAGGTCTGCAGAGAGTAAGAATATCACTTGTTCATGTGATTCATGATCCTTGGAACCTCCTATGTGCTGCATCTTTGGATGGAAATTGGAGTCCCAGAGACAAATGAGGCTCCACCCTGCTTCCAGAAGCTCAGAGTCCAGGGGAGAGAACCCAGTGGATAACAGATGGGGTTATGTGGACATGGTAATGATAACAGCGGTTTCTTTCAGCGAATAGTGTCACATTACCTAAAGCAATGAGGGCAGACATGTTTATTTGAAAAGGAGACAGCTACATTGAAATCACAAAAAATTTTATAAGTTTCACTGCTGACTGACAGAAGGCTGGAAAATAGTCTGAGGAAAGGTGAAACAGCATGAGGGAAGGTGGAACAGCACGTGTCTCAGTGCCATGTTAAGAGGGAGCCTCTTGTATGTCTGGAATTGTGAGTTCCTCAGTGTGATTGCAGCCTCAAGTAGACTAGGAAGTAAGCCAGTTCAGTTGGAGAGGTGGGCAGGGGTCAAGTGAAATAGAGAATTGTGGGCTAAGCAAAGGTGTGTGTCTTCTCTCCAGCAGGCAGTGGGGACCTTAGACATTTGTAAGCAAGAGAGAGGCATGTTCAGATTTGTGGTGTGAGGAAGAGCGATCCCCTAAGATGAAGACTGATGCCTTCAGATTCCAGCTGCTGGTACATGGGAGCTAGCAACCCGGTTTTGAGACAGGGCTGTTGTCTCCCTAGAAGATCCCCTCAAGGCCTGACTGTGGTGCTTATGGGCAGGAGACAATGATCTTGGCTTAGCATTTGGAAGTTCCATGTACATGGTGGTATCTGTTGGAGGTGTCTTGGGCCTCTGAGAAGGGGAAGTGATTTTTGTCTGTGTGAAAACGCAGTGATCCAACTGTGCATATGTCACCTCCTGAGGGTCTTGATCATCAGAGTCCTGGAGAGAGGGAAATGCTGAGTGAGGGAGGGTGCTCACATTCTTCAAGACTATTAGGGAATGAGACTCAATCCATGAGGCTGGGCTGAGGAGAACCTACCTCCCTGTTCACTGTTCTGTCCCCGGCAGGCTCTTGGTCCATTACAGCAGCATCTGTAGGAGATAGAAGTCATCAAAACAGCTGGAAGGGCACTTTTGGGTCCTCATTTCATGAGCAGACACCAACACACAGCGGGAGGCCGTAGGTGCCTGAGGTCCCTCAGCTGTCATCAGCCAGACCCAGACATTCTATCTCTCTGAGCTCAAGGACCCATCCCATGAATAGCTCTGAGTTCCCATCCCAGTGATTCTGTCTCCCCTTTCTGCCTGTCATGGAACCTTCTCCTGGATGTCAGTGGCTGCAGGGGACGTGAGGATACAGTTCAGAATCAGGCAATGGTCTGTGAGCTGAAGGCAGGGGCAGGGTGTCTGGTGCTCTCTCTAGAAAGCCCTGCCTCTGTGGCTCCTGCCTTGGTCCAGGGACCATCCTGCCAGTCAGGAACACACACCAGTGTGCTCCCATCCTGCTTCCCCACATGGTCCTGAGCTCTCTGACCTCTGCTTCGTGAGACTTACTCTTTTTGTTGGAGCAGCAGCAATGAAGGAGAAAGAAGAAGAGGATGATGAAGAGGATGATAGCCACTGAGGTCCCAATCAGAATGTGCAGGTGTCTGCGGATACCTGGGGGAAGGTGGGAATCCAATAAGAAGCTAATTATAGCAGTTCCTCTTTATGGATTGTCTCTCATTTCTTGGTTGCCAGCTAAGCACATACAACATCTGTTTAGGACAAGTTCCCCGATGGCAGGATACCCAGCTTTCTCCTGCTTTCTCAGTTATAGTTCTCAAAATAATCAGAGAACATGCTGGGGATACCACTGCTATAGTTTGAATGTTTGACCCCGCCAAACCTCACGTTGACACTTATCTCGCAGTGTGGGAGGCTGGGCCTATTGAGAGACGTTCCAGTTATGGGGGTGGATCCATCATGAATACATTAATGCTGTCCCCATGAGACGTGGTTGGCAAGTTCTCCATGAGGTCCCTAGGACTGGTTGCTAAAAAGAGCATGGGGTTTCTCCATGTTGGCCAGGCTGGTCTCAAACTCCTGACCTCAAGTGATCCAAACGCCTTGGCCTCCCAAAGTGTTGGGTTACAGGCGTAAGCTCCCATTCACAGACTTGTATATTATGCTATAATAAGTCCCTTCATTTGCACCACCCCTCATCTATCTATCACTCCTCTGCCAGATATTGATTTACATGTAGGAAAAATAAATCTCAGAAAGAAATTAATATATTCAAAATTAAATAAGTAGGCATTATCAAATCCAGCAAGACCTCCCTACAAATGATTCTACCTCACAGACATATCTTATACCCATCTACTTCATTCATTTAGTGTCTAAATCAGCACCACATTTCACCAGTGGGGCGGGAATTGCCTTTTCCACGGTCTCCTAGATTCCAGTTACGCACTTGGGCGTCCCTTATTTTCATGTCAGTCATATTAATCATGTAGGGATTCCTGGTTACCCCGAGGTGAATCCAATGGCTGTGAGTGTCAAACACACGCTCCTTGTTGCTCCTTAGTTTCCTGTGTACCCAGTGTGCTCTCCGTCTCCCTACAGTCATCTTGTCATTCTCCCCACGTCATTCCCAGCATTTGAATGCAGAGCCTCTTCCTTCCACATCAGATTGTTTTCACATTTGTGCCTTCACGGCTGACAGCTGTGTGTGGAAAATCCTTCCGCCCATCTTCCAGGGGTTGAATCTACTTTTTTTTTTCATTATGGTCACAAATATTATCTGATTAGTGAGACTTTCTCTGTCTCCTGAAATTATACACTTAGAATTCTTTATTATTTATTTTAAATTTCGGCTGGGCGCAGTGGCTCACGCCTTGAGTCCCAGCATTTTGGGATGCTGAGACGGTCGGATCACTTGAGGTTGGGAGTTGGAGACAATCTGCGCAACATGGTGAAACTCCATCTCTACTAAAAAATATAAAAGAAAATTAGCTGGGTGTGGTGGAGGGGACTGGAATCACAACTAGTCAGGAGGCTGAGGCAGGAGAATCGCCTGAACCCGGGAGGCGGAGGTTGTGGTGAGCTGAGGTCATGCCACTGCACTCCAGCCCGGGGACAGAGAATGACTTCGCCGCAAATAAATAAATACATAAATAGATAAATAGATAAATAAATAGGTAAATAGATTTCATGCACGGATGCTTCCCAATGGATCAATCATTACTGGTCCACTTGTGCATTCATATTCTGCCCTCCCATTTGCCCATCTGCAATGTCAGTGTCCTAAGAGCAGAGGCCAAATGCATCGTGTTTACCATTTGTGGAAGGCAGGAGAATGCTGGCCCACCCCCAAAATGTCCCTGTCCTAGCCTCCATAGCTTGTGAATATGTTATTTTACATGAAAGGAGGAATAAAGATTGCAGATGGAATTATGGTTGCTAATCAGCTGAACTTAAAAAGAGGTTATCTTGGGTGATTTTAGGGAGATTGTGATGGATTATCTTGGTAAACTCAATAGAATCCCAAAGTCTTTAAAAGAGGAAGAAAAAGTCAGAGCAACACTTAGAGAAAGAGGTGAGGTAAGGAAGAGGGATCTGAGTGATGCCACGTGAGAGATGTGACGAGCTTTTGTGGACTTCGAGGAAGGAGGATGGGGACCAGATGCCAAGGAACGTGGGAACCTCTGGGAGCTGGGAAATGTGAAAAGCCGATTCTCGCCTGGAACCTTCAGAGAAAAGGCAGCCTCGCAGTCACCTTGATTTTAGCCCAGTGAAATGCATTTCATATTTCTGAGCTATAACACTGTAAGATAATTTTAAAAGCTGTGTTGTTGTCATCCATGAAGTTTGTGGAGATTTATTATGGCAACAGCAGGAAAGGGTTCCACACTGTACAGTCAGAGCACAGGGCAGTGGCTGAATAAGTGAGTGAGTGGAAGTGTCATATTCGTGGATGAACTACGTTCCTTCTTACTGCAAGGCTCTTGCTCTGCTGACTCAGCCAAGGTCGCATCATGACCAACAGGGGCTCATTCCTTGGCAAGTGGAACTTCTCTAAATCACCTTTCCCTCATCAGATGTTCCCTTCCCCTCCCTCTCTCAAGTCCCCTCGAATTTATCCTCCAATTTGGAATGCAGGCAGAAAAAACACCACATTATCCCTGAGAAGGATGTCAGATTTGTACTCGTCCGTCTAGCTTGGAGGAGGTCTCAGCTGCAGAAATTTGAAATGAAGAGACTTCACTGAGCCCTTTGCTGTCCTCAGATACCCTTCGCTGTTGTAGTGTCTGGGGGTCAGAGATGTTAGAAGACAGGCCCACAATCACAGAGCTGGGAGGTGCTGAGCCAATGCTTGAATCCAAGATACCAACCTCCCCAGGTTTCCAAAAGCAGAGATAAGAGGGATCTTTACTCACCAGTTTTGGAGCTTGGTTCAGTGGGTGAAGATGAACTACTTGAAGAGTTTCCTAGAACACAGGACAGGAGAGAGGTGAGGAAATGAGGATGCCTGTCTTCTACTCAAAGGAAATCTTTGAGGTTGGTTCATGGCCAACACTCTGTTATCTAATGTTGGGCCCTAGGAGTCCTGGCGTCCCCTTCTCCATCATCATTGTTAAATGATGCCCAGTGTCCTGAGATTTCGAGGTATAAAGACAAAACAGGTGCTGGAGGCCTCACACTCCCTGACTTAAAAATATGTTACAAAGCTGTAGTAAGCACAACAGCATGACATTGGCATAAAGGCCCTTAGAGCAATGGAGCAGAATGAAGAACACAGATATAATTCATGCATTCACATCCAATGGACTTTGACGATTGTAGGTGCCAAGAACCTGCAATCAGGAAACGACGGTCTTTTCAATAAATGGAGCAGGGAAAACTGGTATCTACATGCAGTTGATGAAACTGCACCTCTACCTCTCACCATACACAGAAATCAAATGAAAATGGAAGAAACACTTAAGGCCTGAAACCATTAAGCGTCTAAAAGGAAAGAGTGGGGAAATGCTCCAGGACATTTGTCTGAGGAAAGACATTTTATTTGAAATCTCAAAAACACAAGAAATCAAAACAAAATAATAGACCTTCGGGATTACATCAAAGTAAGCAGCTTCTGCACCGCAAAGGAAGCAACCAACAAAGTGAAGAAGAGACAAATTGGGAGAAAATATTTGTGAAGTATGCATCTGAGAGGGGATTAATAACTAGAATATACATAAAACTCAAGCAACGGTATAAAACAATGAATTTAATTTAACAATTAGTAAAAGACCTGAACAGACATTTCTCAACAAACAAAACGTACAAATGGCGAACATGTACATGAAAAAGTGCTCAGTATCACTAATCATGCCAATTGAAATCACAGTGAGCTATCATCTCATCCCATTAAAGTGGCTTTTATCTGAAACACAGACAAAATGAATGCTGGCAAGGTGGTAGAGAAAGGAGAACCCTGGTACCCTGTTGATAGGATCTAGCAATTCCACTACTGGGTGTAAACCCAAAGGGAAGGACATCAGTGTATCGAAGTGATATCTGCACTCATACGATTGGTGCAGCACTGTTCACAGTAGCCAAGATGTGGAGTCAACTTACCTGCCCGTCAGTGGGTGAATGGATAGAGAGAATGTAGTACACACACACAGTGGAGAGTACTCATCCGTAGAAAGAATAACATCCTGACATTTGCAGCCACATGGATGGAACTGGAGGTCATTGCAAAGATTCCCATTTCTCACCCATATACAGGAGCTAAAAGGTGGATCTCATGAAGGTAGAGAGTAGAATGGTGGCTACCAGAGGGCAGGAAGTAAAGGGTGGAGTGTAACAACAACAATAAAAAAGAATATAGATGTATTTATTTATTTAGAGACAGAATCTCTCTCTGTCTCCCAGGCTGCAGTGCAGTGGCCTGATCTCAGCTCAGTGCAACCTCTGCCTCCTGGGCTTACGTACTTCTCCTGCCTCAGCCTCCCATGTAGCTAGGAATACAGGTGCATGCCAGCATGCCCAGCCAATTTTTCTTGTCTGTTTAGTAAAGATGAATTTCCCTCATGTTGGCCAGGCTGATCTCGAGCCTCTGATCTTAAATGATCCACCTTCCTTGGCCTCTCAAAGCACCGAGATTATAACTGTGAGCCACTGCACCCTGCATATAAAGGAATTTATGACCACTAGATTTTACTTTTAAAAATGGTAAAGGTGGCAAATTATATAGTTACATTTAACCTCAATAAATGTTTTTTCAAACGGAAAGAAAAGGGTGTAGGGGTTGCTGGTGATGACATCTCTGTGTGGGTGAGAGGCCAGTATGGGCTTCTGGGAAATGGGTAAGGTTGAGGGTCTGAGGAGCCTCTGATCTCCCCAAACTGAGCCGAGTCTCCCTCCTCTGGGTCTGTCCTGACCACTTTCTCCATCTGCCTGGGTGCCTGGAGCCCTGGCCGCGGGCCTCCATGCAGGCCGTGCAGGAGGGTTTGGAGGTGCCCTGTCTGCCATCCTGTGCCCTGATCCCTCCCTCACACCATGCTGCGTGTTCTCTCTGCATCTGTCCATGCTTCTCTCCATCATCAGCAGGAAGCTCCTCAGCTAAGGCTCTAGGATCACAGGACATGGGACAGGCATGGGCTTTCCTCACCTGTGACAGAAACAAGCAGTGGGTCACTCGGGTCTGACCACTCATAGGGTGAGTCATGGAGAGAGCTGAAGCATGTGTAGGTCCCTCCGTGGGTGGCAGGGCCCAGAGGAAAGTCAGCCTGGAATGTTCCATCGACGCTGGGCACTGCAGGGAGCCTAGGTTCATGGGCCCTCCCCTCCCTGGATAGATGGTACATGTCAAATGAGCTCCTGGAGCTGCAGGACAAGGTCACGTTCTCTCCTGTGCGAACCGTGGGGCCCGGCTGGGCTGAGAGTGAAGGTTTCCCAAATAGACCTGGAAGAAGAGGCAGTTTCCTCAGGGAGGTTCTTCCTTGTCACAGCTCCCCTCACACCTGAGCTGAGAACTCACTCCCCTGCTCTATGACCTAATGCTCTCTCTCTCTCTCACCCTCCACCCCCGACTCTCCCTGTGGATCCCTCCCTATGCAGCTCCAGCCTGGTGGTGGCATCAGCAGTGCACCCTTGCTGACCTTAGGGTAGCCAACCCTCTTGTTTGGTTTTTTAACTTGTCCTTGACCTGGATTCCTGTGTTGTTTCCTGTTGTTGCTGCAGAAAATTATCACAAACACGGCGGCGGGAGAGAACACTTCTGTTGACAGAAATCAGACCCTGTTCTTCCTGGGCTACAATCAAGGCATCTGCAGGGCTGCATTCCCTCTGGAGACTCGGGAGAATCAGTTCCATTGACTTCTCCAGCCCCTAAAGGCCACCTGCATTCCGTGGCTTCTGGCCTTCCTCCACTTTCAAAGCCCGCAGTGGCTGGTGGACTCTCCCTCCCACTACGCTGCTCTAATCCCCACTCTCCTCTTCCTCCTCCTCTCATGTGGACCCTTGTGATTACACTGAGCCCAGTGGGAGAGTCCAGGTCGTCTCCCCATCTCAAGGTCAACTCATCAACAACCTGAACTCCATCTTCCCCTTCAGTCCCATGTCCTATAACATAAATAGTCACAGGCTCCAAGGATTACAATATAGCCATGCTGCCGACAGTTACTCTTTCCACCACAGCACCCATTCCCCTGTATTCAATCCCCATTGACACCAAATACAGTCAGGGCCTGGATGATTGGACCCTGGTGGACACCCCCACCAGATGCTCTGGGATTCAGGAAGTGGGAGAAGGAGAAGCCCAGACATGAGTCCTCTGACCTGTGACCACGATCACCAGGGGGTTGCTGGGTGCCGACCACTCAATGGGGGAGCGCGGGTGTGAACCCCGACATCTGTAGGTCCCTGCGTGTGCAGGGGTCACAGGGCCCATGAGGATGCTCTTCCAGAATATTTTGTTGTAGAGCTCAGGGACAGGCACCCCATCTTCTTTGTACAGACTGAAGATGGTAAACCCAAGACGAGAGCGACACAGAAGAGTCACATGTCCTCCTCGAGGCACCACAGCGCTGGGCCAGGCAGACAGCAAGGGCTTGTCCTGTCCACCTGGGGGAGAAGGAGGCGCCACCTTAGAAAGGAGGATGTGGAGCCGCCCCTCCCTGCCAGTGCTCAGAAGATTCTCCCCACTTTCCTCGTTTCTAAGGCTCCTACCACACTTGGGTGCCCATGGCTACGGGAAGGACCCACCCCGCATAGACTTGGCGTCTCTCTACAACAAAAGTGTCAGCTGAGAACTTTGAGCAAGTGCTGAGTAAGGGACTCCTACTAGATTTTAATACTGCAAGATTACTCACATAAAACAACACAAATAGACATGGGGTCGAGGGCATGTTCTTTGTGAATGGAATATCAGCCAATGTGTGAACCACAATACACAACTGAGCCCCCAACAGAGGATTTGGAAGGTCAGGGCCCTGGCTGGGGTTCCCCCACCTCTGAGGTAGAATGACAGCAGCCACACTGCAGCCCCTACCGTCATGGAAACGCTGGAGGGTGTGAGTTACACCTTTGTCCTCAGAGGCCTGCTGTTCCTAGCACTGCTTTGCTCCCTTCCTCTGCCAGTGACACCACATCCCAGCCGCACAGCCCAGCTTGGAGGACCCCAGTCTACCCTCCCGGGTTCCCACAGAACCTGACTCAGCCAAGGGAAAGGAAGGCTGGGGAGGGCAAGGTCGGAACTGTGGGCTGAGCACCCCAGGGTCTCCTCATCCTTGTTTATAAGAAAATCCCCCACCGGGCTTCCCTCCTGTTTCAGGAAAATCCTCTTATGTGGGGAGATGACACCCGAAGGTTTGGAGAAGGACTCACCCTCATGTGTCCAGGCCCCCTGCAGCAAGAAGAACCCTGGAAAGAAAGATCATGATGGACCATCCATCTGCAGGCAAACCAGGACTCCCTTGCTGCCCCCACTGGGCTGTGAGTCTTGGTAGCCAGGCCCTTGCTGGGCTGAAGGGAAACTCACCCTCAGTGCCAGCCTGCACCCAAGAACAGGGCTGTCGGCTGTGTAGAGACCCAGCCTGCAGGCCCATATCCGCACCCCAGGCCCCTATCCCCACCCCAAGCCCATATCTCCACTCCAGGCCCATATCTCCACTCCAGGCCAATATTTCCACCCTAGACCCATATCTCCAATCCAGGCCCATATCTCCACCCCAAGCCCATATCTCCACACCCAGGCCCATATCTCCATCCTAGGCCCATATGTCCACTCCAGGCCCAGATATCCACCTCTAGGCCCATGTCTCCACCTCCAGGCCCATATCTCCACCTCCAGGCCCATGTCTCCACTCCAGGCCCATATCTCCATCCCAGGCCAATATCTTCACTCCAGGCTCATATCTCCCCTCCAGGTTCCTATCTCCACTCCAGGCCCAGATCTCCACTCCAGGCCCATATCTCCACCTCCAGGCCCATATCTCCACTCCAGACCCAGATCTCCACTTCTAGGCCCATCACTCCATCTCCAGGCCCATATATCCACTCCAGGCCCAGATCTCCACTCCAGGCCCATAACTCCACCTCCAGGCCTATATCTCCACCTCTGGGCCCAGATCTCCATCCCCGCGCTCCCTCCCTCTATTCCTTTCCAGGACTCACCAACACACGCCATGCTGACGACCATGAGCGACATGGTGCTGCCGGTGCAGACAGGCAGCCGCGCCCCAGCTCAGCTCAGCAGCGCACAGGATGTTATTTGGCGCCCTGCCCATGCAGCTTACATGTTGACTACATCATGGGAGGGTGACGTACGCAGGCTCTTTCTACCTTGCATGAGGCCCAGTGGATGCTTGCTCAAGAGCGGAACACGGCTTCCTGGAAATTGTTCTCACTAGAATTGGCACCTCACGTCCTTCACTATGACCAACTCACAACACGTCTCAGATCCAACCTCCCGAACACAAGATGCCTAAAATCTGTGCTAACGTGAAAGACTTTTCATGTATTTTTATCCGAACACGAGATGCCTAAAATCTGTGCTAACATGAAAGACTTTTCATGTATTTTTTTTGTTTTTATCTGAGATTCAAACTCTTCTTCCTGTGTAATATGCAAAGTATCTAATAGGTATTATTAATGTTTTCGGAGTCATTGTGACTAATAAACCATTAGAATTTTTCATGCTTGTATTTCTAGTATTACAGCAGAACCAGCTAAAATGATTTAAATTCCCAGGGAAGGATTATGCAATTATTTACAATCTTAGAATTGTACTTTATCAGCAAAAACCACACCTGTAAATTCTGGAGTTTTGTAGTTTAATCTAAAATTTGTCTCATGACCCAAGATTCCAGAGTCCCAACTCTGGAGTTTGCTCTCTGTCTGTCTCTCTCCCTCCCTCGTTTTAAATTTTACAGAAATATCCAGTAACATAATGCTATAGAAAATCAAGTTTTCCCCAGCACGTTGGGAAGCCGAGGTGGGCGGATCAACTGAGATAAGGAGTTTGAGAGCAGCTTGGCCAATATAGTGAAACCGTGTCTCTGTTAAAAATCCAAAAATTAGCCGTGCCTGGTGGCAGGCACCTGTAACGCCAGCTGCTCAAGAGGCTGAGGCACGAGAATCGCTTGAACCTGGGAGGCGGAGGTTGCAGTGAGCTGAGATTGTGTCACTGCAGTCCAGCCTGGGCGACAGAGCAAGACTCCGCCTCAAGAAAAAAAAAGCAAACAGCCTATAATAACAAATTAGAGGGCTCTGGCTACTAAATTTAAAGGGTTCTATAAGGCTACATAAAGTGCAGCATCATCAAGAGTGTGGACACAGAGAGCCCCTTAGCAGAAACAGTGTCTAAAATACATCCATGTACACACAGTCCCTTTAGAGTTGACAAAGGCTGCCGTGTGGTTTAAGGTGGCATAGAATGTCTTCTCAATAAATAATATTAAACCAATTGGTTACACCTAGGAAAAAATAAATCTAACTCACACTATAAAAACACTTCTTAGTTTTTATCTAGTTGTACATTTTTTATGATTTATATTTAAATTTGAGAAATAAAAGTCATATACGGTCATCCTTCACTATTCGTGGGTGATTGGTTTTGAGATCTCCACTCAGATACCAAAATCTGTAGATGCTCAAGCCTCTTATATGAAATGGCACAGAGTTTGCAAATAACCTATGCACATCCTCCTGTATACATGAAATCATCTCTAGATTACTTATAATTCCTGATACAGCCTACACACAGCTTCATTTGTGTCCATTCAACATAGTTATGCTTTTTGAAACTCTGTGGATACTTTCTCTCAATATTTTTGATTTATACTTGGTTCAATAAACACCTGTAAACCCCGCAGATATGGAGGAGTGACCGTATATTTATATTATGAAAGATGATGTGTTGATATGTGTCCCCATGGAGATGAGACTAACAAGGCCTATGATTCTACAAATGTTTCATTGTGGAATGACTCTGCCAGCTTTCCAGGTCTGCAGAGAGTAAGAGTATCACTTGTTCATATGATTCGTGATCCTTGGAACCTCCTATGTGCTACATCTTTGGATGGAAATTGGAGTCTCAGAGACAAATGAGGCTCCACCCTGCTTCCAGAAACTCAGAGTCCGGGGATGAGAACTCAGTGGGGAACAGATGGGATTATATGGACATGGTACTGATAACACCGGAAGCCTTAGGCAAGAAAAGAGTCCCATTACCGAAACCATGGGGGCAGACATGTTTATTTGAAGGATGGAAAACTACATTGAAGTTATTTTAAAAAATATATAAGTTTTACTGCTGACAGAAGACTGAAAGCTAGTCTGAGGGGAGGTGGAACAGCATGAGGGAAGGTGGAACAACACGTGTCTAAGTGCTGCGTTAAGAGGGAGCCTCTTGTATGTTTGGAATTGTGAGTTCCTCAGTGTGATTGCAGCCTCAAGTAGACTAGGAAGTAAGCCAGTTAGGTTGGAGAGGTGGGCAGGGGTCAAGTGAAATGGAGAACTGTGGGCTAAGCAAAGGAGTGTGTTTTTTCTCCAGCAGGCAGTGGGGACCTTAGACATTTGTAAGCAAGTGAGAGGCACATTCAGATTTGTGGTGTGAGGAAGAGCGATGCCCTAAGATGCAGACTCATGCCTTCAGATTCCAGCTGCTGGTACATGGGAGCTGGCAACCCGGTTTTGAGACAGGGCTGTTGTCTCCCTAGAAGACGCCCTCAAGGCCTGACTGTGGTGCTCATGGGCAGGAGACAACTTTGGATCTGGACTCAGCATTTGGAAGTTCCGCGTACACGATGATATCTGTTGGGGGTGTCTTGGGCCTCTGAGAAGGGCGAGTGATTTTTCTCTGTGTGAAAACGCAGTGATTCAACTGTGTGTATGTCACCTCCTGAGGGTCTTGTTCATCAGAGTCCTGGAGAGAGGGAAATGCTGAGTGAGGGAGGGTGCTCACATTTTCCAGGACTCTTTGGGAATAACAGTAGCCACGAGCCCGGGCCGAGGAGTACCTACCTCGCTATTCGCTGTTCTGTTCCCTGCAGACTCTTGGTCCATTACCGCAGCATCTGTAGGAGACGGAAGTCAACAAAACAGCTCGGAGGGCACTTCTGGGTCCTCATTTCATAAGCAGATACCAACATACAGGGGGAGACCATAGGTGGCTGAGGTCCCTCAGTTGCCAACAGCAGACTCAGACATTCTATCTCTCTGAGCTCAAGGACCCATCCCATGAATAGCTCTGAGTTCCCATCCCATTGATTCTGTCTCCCACTTTCTGCCTGTCATGGAACCTTCTCCTGGATGTGAGTGGCTGCAGGGGACATGAGGATACAGTTCAGAATCAGGCAACGGTCTGTGAGTTGAAGGCAGGGGCAGGGAGTCTGGTGCCCTCTCTAGAAAGTCCTGCCTCTGTGGCTGCTGCCTTGGGCCAGGGACCATCCTGTTTGTGAGGAACACACACCTGAGTGCTCCCATCCTGCTTCCCCACATGGCCCTGAGCTCTCTGGCCTCTGCTTCGTGAGACTTACTTTTTTTGTTGGAGCACCAGCGATGAAGGAGAAAGAAGAGGAGGATGAAGAGGATGATGACCACTGAGGTCCCAATCAGAATGTGCAGGTGTCGGGGGTTACCTGGAAGAAGATGAGACACCAATAAGAAGCTAATCTTAGCAGTTCCTCTTTATGAATTGTCTCGCATTTCTTGATTGACAGGTAACCACATAAAACATCTCTTTAGGACAAGCACCCAGATGGCAGGAGACCCAGCTTTCTCCTGCTTTTTCAGTTATAGCTCTCATAGTAACCATAGAACGTGCTGAGGATACGACTACTTTAGTTGAGATGTTTGACCCCTTCAAACCTCACATTGAAATTTCACCCCCACTGTGGGAGGTTGGGCCTCTTGAGAGGTGTTTGGGTCATGGAGGTGGATCCATCATGAACACATCAATGCTGTCCCAAGGAGACGGGGTTAGCAAGTTCCCCCTCTATTAGTTCCCGGAGAGCTGGTTGTTAAAAAGAGCTTGGAAGCTCCATCACTCCCCCTCCCCCTTGCTCCCTCTCTTGCCGTGTGATCTCTGTGGTCTCTGCACAGACAGACCCTCCTTCCCTTCTGCCAGAGTGGGAGCAGCCTGAGGCCGTCACGAGAAATAGATGCTGGTGCCATGCTTCCAGTACAGCCTGCAGAACGGTGAGGCAAACCAATCTCTTTTCTTTAGAAGTTACCGAGGCTCAAGTGTTCCTTTAGAGCAACAAAAATGGCCTAAGACAGCAACTTCCTGAGATCAGGAGGAACGTCTCAGAACACCCTGGGCTGTCTTCCTGTTCTTCCTGGAGGACGTCATGCAGTGCTTTAGCTGAGTGCTTCCTGTGGCTCCAGGGTACAAAACCCAGGCTGGGCTGCTTTCTGGCTTCCCGCAGCTACACTGCAAATGGGGTGACTCCATATGTCCCGAGGAGCTTTTCTGAGCCTTGAGGGACTGGCTCACATTGAAATATAGGTTTCTGTTGTCACTCGCTGCTTATCTGTTAGTAATGAACCTGCCTATGTAACGTATTCTCTGTGTGTTCTGTCTCCCTGGAGTGACGGTGAGTGATAGGAATTGGCATAGGCCCAGGTGCAGTCCAGGAGGTGTTTAGAGTCTTCTCTGGGAAGACTGGACTGGGATTGATTCACAGCGAATGTGCTTTAGGGTTTCTACATCCACAGCATTCTTGAATCAAACAACTTGCATTCTCCAAGGAAAGAAAACAAAAGTGAAATCAAGATAAAAAAAGCGAAATAGAATTCTCTTATGTCAAACGGCCAGGAAATAGTGTTGAAGCCCGTGTGAAACCTGCTGCTCTTTGTGATCTCGGGAGACACATATTAGGCTGCTGTTCTACCCGAGAGGCTGGGGGAAGGACCACCCCCTCGGCCATCTATTGCTTCAATACCACCTGTCCTCCTGTGAATTAGTAGGAAAGGGGAGCAGGAGCTAGTGCTGTCGCTGATCTCTGATTCCAAGATCTGGACTCACTCCAAGGAGTGTTAATGTTTACCTCCCCATGGTCTACCTGAATCTCCACAGGTGATTGGAAGTAGGGGTGAGGTGGGGGATTTGGGTGAGTGGGCAAGTTTTTTTTGTGATGACCAGAGCACTTTCTCTATTCCAGGATCTGTGCTGGAGGATTCAGCGGACTTTCACATTTTCTATATGATCTCATGCTCACAGAAAGCCAAATAGGGAAGAGGTTTTAGGCTCATTGCCTAATGGATAAGATAAAGGATCAAAGAAGTAATTATAGAGAAATAGAAAAATCATGATTGGAATTCAGGTCCCTTTGTCATTTGCGTGTGTTATATTATATTTATATTTATGCATTTCTTATTTTTATTTTTTGAGACGGAGTCTCCTTGTGCCACCCAGGCTGGAGTGCAGTGATGCAACCTCCACTCACTGCAACCTCCACCTCCTGGGTTGAAGTCATTCTCCTGCTTCATCCTCCAGAGTAGGAGCTGGGATTACAGGGATGCACCACCATGCTCGGCTAATTTTTGTGTTTTTCCTAGAGACAGGGTTTCACCATGTTGGCCAGGCTGGTCTCGAACTGCTGACTTCATGTGATCCACCCGCCTTGGCCTCCTGCAGTGCTGGGTTACAGGCGTGAGCCACCGTTCACAGACTTGTATATTATGCTATAATAGGTCTCTTCATTTCCACCACCCCTCATATATCTGTCACTCCTTTGCCAGGTATTGATTTATGTGTAGGATGAATAAATCTCAGAAAGAAATTAATTAAGCGAGGATTAAACAAGTAGGAAAATCAAACCCAGCAAGCCTTTCCAGTCAATGATTCTACCTCACAAACCTATCTTATATCCATCTACTTCATTCATTTAGTGTCTAAATCAGCACCACATTTCACCAGTGGGGCGGCAATTGCCTTTTCCACGGTCTCCTAGATTCCAGTTATGCAACTGAGCCTCCCTTATTTTCATGTCAGTCATATTAATCATGTAGGGATTCCTGGCTACCCCGAGGTGAATCCAATGGCTGTGAGTGTCAAACACACACTCCTTGTTCCTCCTTAGTTTCCTGTGTACCCAGTGTGCTCTCCGTCTCTCCACAGTCATCTTGTCATTCTCCCCACATCATTCCCAGCATTTGAGGAAGAGCCTCTTCCTTCCACATCAGATTGTTTTCACCTTTGTGCCTTCACGGCTGACAGCTGTGTGTGCAAAATCCTTCCGCCAATCTTTCAGGGGTTCAATCCGTGTTTTTCATTAATGTCACAAATATCTGAATAGTGAGACCTTCTTTGTCACCTGAAATCATACACTCAGCATTATCTATTATTGATTTTGAATTCTGGCTGGGCACAGTGGCTCACGCCTGTAGTCCCATTACTTTGGCATGCTGAGACGGTCGGATCACTTGAGGTTGGGAGTTTCAGACAAGCTTGGCCAACGTGGTGAAACATCCTCTCTACAAAAAATATACAAAAAGAATTAGCCGGGCACGGTGGCAGTTGCCTGTAATCCCAGCTACTCGAGAGGCGGAGGCAGGAGAATCACTTGAATCCAGGAGAAGCAGGTTGCAGTGAGCCAAGATCGTGACACTGCACTGTAGCCTGGAAGACAGAGGGCAACTCTGTCTCAATAAACAAAAGAACAAACAAAAAATAGATTTCATGCACAGATGCTTCCCAATGGATCATTCATTTATAGATCCACTTGTGCATTCATTTTCTGCCCTCCCATTTAACCATCTGCAATATCAGTGTCCCAAGGGCAGAGGCCAAATGCATCTTGTTCACTGTTTGTGGAAGGCAGGAGAATGCTGTCCCACCCCAAAATGTCCCTGTCCTAGCCTCCATACCTTGTGAATATGTTATTTTACATGGAAAGGAGGAATGAAGATTGTAGATGGAATTACGGTTGCTAATCAGCTGAACTTAAAACAAGGGTATCCTGGATGATTTCCAGGAGATTATGAGGGATTTTCATCTTGGTGAACCCAATAGAATCCCCAAGTTTTCAAAAGATAAGGAAGAAGGGAGAGCAGCATTCAGAGAAAGAGGTGTGGTAAGGAAGAAGGCACTGAGTGATGCCATGTGAGATGTGACCAGTCTTTGTGGGTTTTGAGGAAGGAGGAAGGGGACCAGGAGCCAAGGAACTGGGAGCCTTTAGAAGCTGGGACAAGTGAGAAGCAGATTCTTGCCTGGAATCCTCAGAGGGAAGGCAGCCTTGCTGTCACCTTGATTTTAGCCCAGTAAGATGCACTTCCTACTTTGAGCTACAGCACTGTAAGATAATTAAAAAACCGTTTTGTTTTCACCCACGAATCTTGTGGAAATTTGTTATGGCAACAATAGGAAAAGGTTCCGCACTGCACAGCCTGAGCATGGGGCCGTGGCTGAATGAGTCAGTGAGTCGAAGTGTGCGTGCATGAGCTCCGTTCTCTGTTACGGCAAGGCTGTTGCTCTGCTGAGTCAGCCAGGGTTGCTTCATGACCAACAGTAATTCATTCCTTGGCAAGTGGAACTTCTCTAAAACACCTCGCCCTCATCAGATGTTCCCTTCCCTTCCCTCTCTCAAGCCCCCAGGAATTTATCCTCCAGTTAGGAATGCAGGCAGAACAAACATTGCATTTTTCCTGAGAAGGATGTCAGATTGGCAATCATTCTTCTAGCTTGTAGGAGGTCTCAGCTCCATAAAATGAGAGATTAAGAGATTTCACTGAGCCCTAGGTTGGGCCCAGATCCCTTTCGCTGTTGGAGTATCTGGAGTTCGGAGATGGTAGAAGACAGGCGTACAATGTCAGAGCTGCGAGATGCTGAGTCAATGCCTGCATCGAAGGTTTCTACCTCCCCAGGTTTCCAAAAGCGGATATAAGAGGGTTCTGTACTCACCGGTTTTAGAGCTTGGTTCAGTGGGTGAAGGCCAACTATTTGAAGGGTTTCCTAGAACATGAGACAGGAGAGAGGTGAGGAAATGAGGGTGTCTGTCCTCTACTCAATGGAAATCTTTGAGGTTGGTTCATGGCCAACACTCTGTTATCTAATATTGGGCCCTGGGAGTCCTGGGATCCTTTTTTCCATAATTTTTGTATGTGACGCCCATTGTCTTGAGACTTCAAGGTATAAAGAGAAAACAGGAGCATCACACTACCTGATCTCAAAATATGTTACAGAGCTGTAGTAAGCAAGACAGCATGATGTTGGCATGAAGAAAGGCACATAGAACAATGGAGCAGAATGAACAACACAAATATAATCCATGCATTTACATCCAATGTTTTTTTCTTTTTTCTTTTGAGATGGAGTCTCGCTCTGTCACCCAGGCTGGAGTGCAGAGGTGCAATCTCGGTTCACTGCCACCACAGCCTCCTGGGTTCAATCAATTCTCTGGCCTCAAACTCCTGAGTAGTGGTATTATAGGTGCTGACCACCATGCTCAGCTAATTTATATATTTTTAGTGGAGACGATGTTTCATCACGTCGGCCAGACTAATCTTGAACTCCTGGCCTCAGGTGATCCACCCGCCTTGGGCTCCCAAAGTGCTGAAATTGCAGGTGTCAGTCACCATGCCCAGCCCATCCAATGGACTTTGACAAAGGTGCCAAGAACTCACAATCAGGAAAGGACAGTCTTTTCAATAAACAGTGCAGGGAAACCTGGACATCTACATGCAGAGGAATGAAACTGCACCTCTACCTGTCACCATACACAAAAATCAAATGAAAATGGATTAAAGATGTGAGTCTAAGGCCTGAACCTATGAAACACGTAGAAGAAAATATTGGGGAAATGCTCCAGGACATTTGTCTGAAGGAAGACATTTTGTTTTAAACCTTCAAAACACAAGTAATCGAAGCAAAAATAGACCATTGGGATTACCTCAAGCTAAGCAACTTCTGCACCGCTAAAAATAAACCAACAAAGTGAAGAGACAACCCACAGATTGGGAGCAAATATGTGCAAACTATGCATCTGAGATGGGATTAATAACTAGAAATATAAGAAGCTCAAACAACTCAATAAAACAAATGATTTAATTGAAACAGGAGCAAAAGACATGAAATTTCCCCACATACGAAAAACTGCTCAGTATCACTCATCATCAGAGAAACGCAAATTAAAATCAAAGTGAGTTTTCATCTCACCCCATTAAAATGGCTTTTAGGCCGGGCGTGGTGGCTCACGTCTGTCATCCTAGATCTTTGAGAGCCTGAGGTGGGTGAATCTCATAAGGTCGGGAGTTTGAGACCAGTCTGACCCACATGGAGAAACACTGTCTCTACTAAAAATACAAAAATTAGTCGGGCGTGGTGGCGTGTGCCTGTAATTCCAGCTACTCGGGAGGCTGAGGCAGGAGAATCGCTTGAACCTGGGAGGTGGAGGTTGTGGTGAGCCGAGATCGCACCACTGCACTCCAGCCTGGGTGACAAGAGCGAAACTCCATCTCAAAATAAAATGAAATAAAGTAAAATGGCTTTTAGCTGCAAGACAGGCAAAGGAAATCCTGCCAAAGTGGTAGAGAAAGGAGAACCCTAATACCCTGTTGGTAGGAGTGTAAATTAGTACAGCCTTTACGGAGAAAAGTGTGGAAGTCCTTTAAAGAACTAAAAAGAGGTTGGGTGAGGTGGATCATGCCTGTAATCCCGGCACTTTGGGAGACCGAGGCGGACACCTCAGTTGAGGTCATGAGTTTGAGAGCAGCCCAGCCAACATGGGGAAACCCCATCTATACTAAAAAAACCAAAAAGTAGCCAGGCATGGTGGCGTGCACCTGTAATCCCAGCTACTAGGGAGGCTGAGGTAGGAAAATCATTTGAACCCAGGAGGCAGAGGTTGCAATGAGCCAAGATGACATCACTTGTACTCCAGCCTGGGCACAGAGGGAAACTGTCTCAAAAACAAAAACAAAACAACAAACGAATAACTAAAAAGAGAACTTTCATAGTATCCAGCAATTTCACTACTGGGTTTATATCCAAAGGAAAGTAAATCAATATATCGAAGTGATATCTGCACTCGTATGATTGGTGCAGCACTGTTCACAGTAGCCAAGATGTGGAGTCAACCTACCTGCCCATCAGTGGATGAATGGATAGAGAGAATGTAGTACATACGCACAGTGGAGACTACTCATCCATAGAAAGAATAACATCCTGATATTTGCAGCCACATGGATGGAACTGCAAGTCATTACAAAGATTCCCATTTCTCACCCATATACAGAGCTAAAAGGTGGATCTCATGAAGGTAGAGAGTAGAATGGTGGCTTCCAGAGGCCAGGAAGAAAAGGGTGGAGGGTAAAAAAAAAAAAATATATATATATATATATACACATATATATATGTATATATATGTGTGTGTATATATATATACATACATATATATATATATATATTTATAAATGTATTTATGACCACTAGACTTTACACTTAAAAATGGTAAATGTGGCTGGGAGTGGTGGCTCATGCCTGTAATCCCAGCACTTTGGGAGGCAGATGCGGGTGGATCACGTGGTCAGGAGTTGGAGACCAGCTCGACCAACATGGTGAAACCACCTCTCTACTAAAAATACAAAAAGTAGCCTGGCGTGGTGGTGCGCGCCTGTAGCACCAGCTACTCAGGTGGCTGAGGCAGGAGAATCACTTGAACCCAGGAGGCGGAAGTTGCAGTGAGCTGAGATTGTGCCACTGCACTGCAGCATAGGGGACAGAGCTAGACTCTGCCTCAAAAAAAAAAAAAATGTTAAAGGTGGTAAGCTATATAGGTATATTTATCCTCAATAAATATTTCTTCAAACAAAAGTAAAGGGTGTAGGGGTTGCTGGTGATGACATCCCTGTGTGGGTGAGAGGCCAGGATGGGCTTCTGGGAAATGGGTAATGTTGAGGGGCTGAGGGAACCTCTGATCTTCCCAAACTGAGCCCAGTCTCCCTCCTCTGGGTCTCTCCTGACCGCTTTCTCCATCTGCCTGTGTGCCTGGAGCCCTGGCCGCGGGCCTTCATGCAGGCCGTGTAGGAGGGTTTGGAGGTGCCCTGTCTGCCATCCTGTGCCCTGATCCCTCCCTCACACCCAAGCTTCGTCTTCTCTCTGCATCTGTCCATGCTTATCTCCATCATCAGCAGGAAGCTCCTCAGCTAAGGCTCTAGGATCATAGGACATGAGACAGATATGGGGTTTCCTCACCTATGACAGAAACAAGCAGTGGGTCACTCGAGTTTGACCACTCGTATGGAGAGTCACGGAAAGAGCCGAAGCATCTGTAGGTTCCTCCGTGGGTGGCAGGGCCCAGAGGAAAGTCGGCCTGGAATGTTCCGTTGACCTTGGGCCCTGCAGAGAACCTACATTCATGGGCCTCCCCCTCCCTGGATAGATGGTACATGTCATAGGAGCTCCGGGAGCTGCAGGACAAGGTCACGCTCTCTCCTGCCAGAACCGTGGGGCCCGGCTGGGCTGAGAGAGAAGGTTTCTCATATAGACCTGGAAGGAGAAGAGGCATTTTCCTCAGGGAGGATCTTCCTTGTCACAGCTCCCTTCACCTGAGCTGAGAACTCACTCCCCTGCTCTATGACCTAATGCTCTCTCTCTCTCTCTCTCACCCTCCACCCCATCTCTCTTCATATCTATTTCCTTCTTCCACCTTCTCTGTCTCTCTAGGTCTCTGACCTCGCTTCCCCACCTCTAGATATGTTTTCCGTTTTTGGATTGTTTTATTCTCTCTGACTCTCCTTGGGTTGGTTGACTTGATGTTACTTTTTTAAATTCTAAGTTTCTCACGTTGTGTCCTGTTCATAACTTTCTGCATATTTCTATCTATTATCTGTCGATCTATCTATTTATCTATTCGGTGCCTATCTACAAATTCTCTACCTGTCATCTATATCTATATATCATCTATGTATCTATCAGTTGTCTATCTATCCATCAATCATCTGTTATTTATATGTATGTATCATCTCTCTCTCTATGATTTCTGTCTGCCTCTCTATCTGTACGTATTATCTGTCTTCATCATCATCATCTCTATGTATTATCTATTAATGAATCAATCAATCATCATCTATGTATCTTTAACCTATTATCTATCATCTACCTATTTATCATCTATCTATATCTATCCATCTATCATCTGTATTGCTCTGCCTCTCGGTCTCTCTAGCTCTCTTTGGAATCTCTGCAATTCATCCCCACATCTCCATGTTTCTATGTCCTTGTGCCTCTCTCTCAGGACTCTAATTTTAGTGCTTTTCTCTGCTCCCTGCCATCATTCTCACCACTCCTCTGCCCTCTTTTCTCTCTCTTTATGTGTCTGTGAGTCTCTCAATCTCCTTCCTCTGGCTCATTCTCCGTGT
This sequence comes from Homo sapiens, assembly GCF_000001405.40. NCBI lineage: Eukaryota > Metazoa > Chordata > Mammalia > Primates > Hominidae > Homo > Homo sapiens. The sequence continues at coordinate 143,554 of NT_187640.1, forward strand.
GTTTATGTCTTTGCTTTTTGGTGTTCCTGATTTTTCTCTGTGCCTCTCAGTGATCCTTTCATATGTGGGGTTATTTGGAATGTGAGCCTCAGAATCCAGTCTGGAGACCACAAGTTCACACAGCATACAGGGGTTGGTGTTCTGGGGCCATGATATCCTGGGACGGTTACTCTCCATTACATGGAAGGCAGAGGTGTCAGAATAAACATGGCCTGTAGGTGCCACAAGGCCTGAGGCCACAGGGCCCAACTCAGGTCAGAAATATGGGTGTCCTTGGGTTCTCCTGGTAGAGAACACTTTGTGGAGGTAAAACAGAAATGAAACTTCTAACCTGTGCCAGGTCTGTGAGCAAAGTCAGCATGGAGGGACACCTCTCTCTGGGACATGTCTGTCTGTCTGTCTCTTTTAACTCTTTCTGTCTTTTCTAACTCCCTGTATGGCCCCTGTGTCTGTCCTCCGTTATGACACCTGGTCTGTACTTGTGTCTCCTGTTTCTCTGTCTCTGTTGGTACAAACCTCAGCAAGTCAGTCTCTCTCCATAAGAATACCAAGCTCATCTTCCTTACAACTACCTGGGGGTTCCAAGTCGTGGATCATTCACTCTGCAGCCCAATGACAATGAGAATGTCCGGACACTCTCACCTGTGATGACGATGTCCAGAGGGTCACTGGGAGCTGACAACTGATAGGGGGAGTGAGTAACAGAACCGTAGCATCTGTAGGTCCCTGCAAGGTCTTGCATCATGGGACCGATGGAGAAGTTGGCTTTGGAGACCCCATCATGGTGCTCTCCAATGAGGTGCAAAGTGTCCTTAAACTTCCCTTCTCTGTGCAGAAGGAAGTGCTCAAACCTGACATCTGACCAACATTGCAGGATGACTGTCTCTTCTGATTTCACCAGGCGACCTGGGTGGGCCAGGAGGGAAGGTTTTCTGTGGACTCCTAGGAAGAGAGGTTGTGAGTTTAGAAGGTGTCTCTCTTTATCATCCCATCCATGGCACCTAGAATGAGTGAGGCTTCCCCTTGCTGGTGTCTGTCTCTCTCCTTCCTCTCTGTGTCTTCATGTTCTTTTCTGTGCCCTTAACTCCTGGTGCAGGTCCTTCCATCTGTCTCCCTCCCTCTTCTCTGTCCCTCTGTCTCTAGTAGCCTCTGATTCCCTTCCCACTGGGCTTAGCCTCATCTCTTGGGGTGTTGTATCTATTTCACACTAATGTCTTTCCTGCTGTTTATGTGGGGGTGAAAGAGGAACCAGGATAGGCTGCACATCCAGGCTCTTATCAGCCTGGTTCAATCTCTTTTGGATGAATTGCAATCCTTGGCAGAAGATATGAACTGATGAATAAGGCAGGCACCAGTGTCCACACACCCTGTTCCTGGTGGGGACTGGGAGCCACTCTTGCCATGCCTGTGCCTTCTCCATGGTGCCAGCTTCCATAGGCTGGCTCCTGGTGCTGGTTGGAGGAGTATCAACCCCTCCCTATGTGGATGGAGCCTGGTGGTGGCATCATCATCCCACCCTTGCTGATCTCAGGGTAGCCAACCTTCTCCTTCTTTGGTTTCTTTAATTAATTAATTAATTTTGGAGACAGAGTCTCACTCCTTCACCCAGGCTGGAGTGAAGTGGTGTGGTCTAGGCTCACTGCAACCTCTGTTTCCTGGGTTCAAGTGATTCTCCTGCCCTCAGCCTCCTGAGTCGCTAGGATTACATGCACCTGCCACCATGCCTGGCTTTCCTTGGGTTGTTTCTTAACTTGTCCTTGACCTGGGTTCCAGTGTTGGTTTCCTGTTGCTGCTGTACAAAATTATCAGAAGCATGGAAGCAGGAGAGACCACACTGACACCTTCCAGTACTGGAGACAGAAATTGGACCCTATTTTTCCTGGGCTAAAATCAAGGCATCTGCAGGGCTTTGTTCCCTCTGGAGACTCTGGAGAATCAGTTCCTTGACTTTTCCAGCCTCTATAGGCCACCTGCATTCATGGCTCTTGGCCTTCCTCCACCTTCAAAGCTGGTGAAGACTTCCACTGGACTGCTCTAATCCCCACTCCCCTCTTCCTCCTCCTTTCATGTGCACCCTTGTGATTACACTGAGCCCAGTGGGACAGTCCAGGCTGTCTCCCCATGAGCTCCATCTTCCCCTTCAGTCCCTTCCCCTATAACATACATAGTCACAGACTCCAGGGATTAGAATGTAGTCATCACTGGGGACAATTATTCTTCCCACCACAGCACCCATTTCCCTGTATTCAATCCCCCTTTACCACAAATACAGTCAGGGCCTGCGTGATGGGACCCTCAAGGACATGCCCACCAGAAGCTCTGGGATTCAGGAGGTGGGACAAGGAGAATCCAAGACAGGAGCCCTCTGACCTATGACCACGATCACCAGGGGGTTGCTGGGTGCTGACCACCCACTGGGGGAGTGTGTGTGTGAACCCCGACATCTGTATGTCCCTGTTGTGCGGGGGTCACAGGGCCCATGAAAAGGCTGTTCCAGAATATTCTGTTGTAGAGCTCAGGGACAGGCACCCCACCTTCCTTGTACAGACTGAAGTTGTTAAACCCAAGATAAGAGTGACACCGAAGAATGACATGTCCTAGAGGCACCACAAGGCTGGGCCAGGCAGACAGCAAGGGCTTGTCCTGACCACCTTGGGGAGAAGGAGGCGCCGCCTTAGAGAGGAGGATGTGGAACTGCCCCTCCCTCCCTGTGCTCAGAAGATTCTCCTCGCTTTCCACGTTTCTATGGCTACTATCACACCTTGGTGCCCAGGGCTGAAGGAAGGACCCATCCCGCAAAGACATGGTGTCTCCCTACAACAAAAGCCTCAGCTGAGAACTTTGAGCAAGTGCTGAGTAAAGAGACTCCTACTAGATTTTGATACTGTAAGATTACTCACATAAAACAACACAGGGTAGACATGAGGTGGAGGGCATGTCCTTTGTGAATGGATATCAGCGGATGCCTGAACGAAAATAAACAACTGAGCCCCCATCAGAGGATTTGGAATGTCAGGGCCATGGCTGTGGTTTCCCACCTCTTCTGGTAGAATGACAGCAGCCACACTGCAGCCCCTACCATCATGGAAACGCTGAAGTGTGTGAGTAACACCTTTGTCCTCAGAGGATCTGCTGTTCCTACCACTTCCCAACCACACACCCCAGCTTTGAGCACCCCAGTCTAACCCTGGTCCCCACAGAACTTGACTCTGCCAAGGGGTTGAGAGGCCAGGGAGGCGAGGTCAGAAATGTGGGCTGAGCACCCCAGGGTCCTCTCTTCCTAGTTTATGAGAGACTCCCCGACAGGACTTCCCTCCTGTTTCAGGAAAATCCTCTTATGTGGGGAGATGACACCCGAAGGTTTGGAGAAGGACTCACCCTCATGTGGCCAGGCCCCCTGCAGCAAGAAGAACCCTGGAAAGAAAGATCATGATGGACGATCCATCTGCAGGCGAACCAGCCCTCCCTTGCTGCCCCCACTGGGCTGTGAGTCTTGGCAGCCAGGCCCTTCCTGGGCTGAAGTTAAACTCACCCTCAGTGCCTACCTGCACCCAAGAACAGGGCTGTCGGCTGTGCAGAGACCCAGTTTCCAGGCCCATATCCCCACCCCAAGCCCATATCTCCACTCCAGGCTGATATTTCCACCCTAGGCCCATATCGCCAATCCAGGCTCAGATCTCCACCCTAGGCCCCTATCTCCAATCCAGTCCCATATCTCCGCCCCAGGCCCAGAACTCCACCCTAAGCCCATATCTCCACTCCAGGCCCATATCACCTCTCCAGTCCCATATCTCCACACCCAGGCCCATATCTCCTTCCTAGGCCCATATCTCCACTCCAGGCCCAGATATCCACCTCTAGGCCCATAACTCCACTCCTGGCCCATATCTCCACTCCAGGCCCATATCTCTACTGCAGGCCCGTATCTCCACCTCCAGACCCATATCTCCACTCCAGGCCCATATCTCCACCTCCAGGCCCATATCTCCACCTCCAGGCCCATATCTCCACTTCAGGCCCATATCTCCACTCCAGGCCCATATCTCCACTCCAGGCCCCTATCTCTACTGCAGGCCCATATCTCCATCTCCAGGCCCATATCTCCATCTCCAGGCCCATGTCTCCACTACAAGCCCATATCTCTACTGCAGGCCCATATCTCAACCTCCAGGCCCATATCTCCACTCCAGGCCCAGATCTCCACTTCTAGGCCCATCACTCCATCTCTAGGCCCATAACTCCACTTCCAGGCCTATATCTCCAACTCTGGGCCCCGATCTCCATCCCCGCACTCCCTCCCTCGATTCCCTTCCAGGACTCACCAACACACGCCATGCTGACGACCATGAGCGACATGGTGCTGTCTGTGCAGACAGGCGGCCGCGCCCCAGCTCAGCTCAGCAGCGCACAGGATGTTATTTGGCGCCCTGCCCATGCAGTTTACATGTTGACCACATCATGGGAGGGTGACGTACGCAGGCTCTTTCTACCTTGCATGAGGCCCAGTGGGTGCTCGCTCAAGAGCGGAACATGGCTTCCTGGAAATTGTTCTCACTAGAATTGACACCTTGCGTCCTTCACTACGACCAGACTCAAAAGACGTCTCAGATCCAACCTCTCATACACGAGATGATTGAATTCTGTGCTTACATTAAAGATTTTTGATGTATTTTTGTTTTTATCTGAGATTCAAACTCTTCTTCATATGTAATGTGCAAAATGTCTAACAGGTATTATTAACATTATCAGAGTAATTGTGACAAGAAGCCATTCTAATTTTCCTGCTTGAGTTTCTAGTACTAAACCAGAGGCATCAGAATAGCTTGAACCTGGGAGGCGGAGGTTGCAGTGAGCTGAGCTCAAGCCACTGAACTCCAGCTTGGGTGACAGAGGAAGAGTCTGTCTCAAGAAAAAAAAAAAAGCAAACTAAATAACCTATAATAACAAATCAGAGGACTCAGGTTACCAAATTTTAAGGGGTTCTATAAGTTTATATAAAATGCAGCATCCTCATGAGAGGGGATACAGAGAACCACTGGACAGAAAACTGTGTCTAAAATACATCTGTGGATACACAGTCCCTTTATAGTTGACAAAGGCTGCCATGTAGTTTAAGGTGGAATAGAATATTTTCTCAACAAATAACACAGGACCATAGGGTTACACGTAGGAAAAAATAAATCTAAACTTATCCTCACACTATAAAAACACTTCTTATTTTTTATCTTGTTGTTGTAAATTTTTTATGCTTTATTTTTAAGATTGACAAATAAAAATTATATACCATGGTCCTTCACTATACCTGGGTGATTGGTTCCAGGATCCCCATTCAGATACCAAAATCTGCAGATGCTCAAGCCCCTTGCATGAAATGGCATAGTGAAGCTGGGCACCGTGGCTCACGCCCGTAATCCCAGCACTTTGGGAGGCTGAGCTGGGTAGATCACAAGGTCAGGAGTTCAAGACCAGCTGGTCCAACATTCTGAAACCCCGTCTCTACTAAAAATACACACACAAAAAAATTTATCTGTGCATGGTGGCACGTGCCTGTAATCCTAGGGGAGGCTACTGGGGAGGCTGAGGGAAGACAATCGCTTGAACCTGGGAGGCGGAGGTTGCAGTGAGTTGAGATCACGCCACTGCACTCCAGCCTGGGTGAGAGAGTGAGACTGTCTCAAAAAAAAAAAATAGCATAGCAATTGCATAGAACCCATGCACATCCTCCTGTATACATGAAATCATCTCTTGATTACTTATAATTCCTGACACAGCCTACACGCCACTCAATTTGTGTCGATTCAACATAGTTTTTTGCTTCTTGAAACTTCGGGGATTTTTTTCTCAAAATATTTTTGATTTATTGTTGGTTCAATAAACACCTGTAAACCCCACAGATATGGAGGACCGACTGTATATTTATATTATGAAAGATGATATGTTGATATGTGTCCCCGTGGAGATGAGACTAACAAGGCCTATGACTCTACAAATGTTTCATCGTGGAATGACTCTGCCAGCTTTCCAGGTCTGCAGAGAGTAAGAATATCACTTGTTCATGTGATTCACGATCCTTGGAGCCTCCTATGTGCTGTATCTTTGGATGGAAATTGGAGTCTCAGAGACAATTCAGGCTCCATTCTGCTTCCAGAAGCTCAGAGTCCAGGGCTGAGAACCCAATGGAGAACAGATGGGGTTATGTGGACATGGTAATGATAACACCGGAAGCCTTAGGCAAGAGAAGAGTCTCGTTACCGAAACCATGAGGGCAGACATGTTTATTTGAAGGCGGGAAAACTACATTGAAATTATTTAAAAAATTTATAAGTTTTACTGCTGGCAGAAGGCTGAAAGATAGTCTGAAGGGAGGTGGAACAGCACGTGTCTAAGTGCTGTGTTAAGAGGGAGCCTCTTGTATGTTTGGAATTGTGAGTTCCTCAGTGTGATTGCAGCCTCAGGTAGACTAGGAAGTAAGCTAGTTAGGTTGGAGAGGTGGGCAGGGGTCAAGTGAAATGGAGAATTGTGGGCTAAGCAAAGGAGTGTGTTTTCTCTCCAGCAGGCAGTGGGGACCTTAGACATTTGTAAGCAAGAGAGAGGCATGTTCAGATTCGTGGTGTGAGGAAGAGCGATGCCCTAAGATGAAGACTGATGCCTTCAGATTCCAGCTGCTGGTACATGGGAGCTGGCAACCCGGTTTTGAGACAGGGCTGTTGTCTCCCTAGAAGATCCCCTCAAGGCCTGACTGTGGTGCTCGTGGACAGAAGACAACTTTGGATCTGGGCTCAGCATTTGGAAGTTCTATGTACATGCTGGTATCTGTTGGGGGTGTCTTGGGCCTCTCAGAAGGGCGAGTGATTTCTCTCTGTGTGAAAACACAGTGATCCAATTATGCGTATGACACCTCCTGATGGTCTTGTTCATCAGAATCCTGGAGAGAGGGAAATGCTGAGTGAGGGAGGGTGCTCACATTTTTCAGGACTCTTTGGGAATAAGACTAGCCACGAGGCTGGGCCGAGGAGCACCTACCTCGCTGTTCACTGTTCTGTTCCCTGCAGGCTCTTGGTCCATTACAGCAGCATCTGTAGAAGACGGAAGTCAACAAAAGAGCTCGGAGGGCACTTCTGGGTCCTCATTTCATAAGCAGATACCAACAAACAGGGGGAGGCCATAGGTGCCTGAGGTCCCTCAGTTGCCAACAGCAGACTCAGACATTCTATCTCTCTGAGTTCAAGGACCCATCCCATGAATAGCTCTGAGTTCCCATCCCATTGATTCTATCTCCCACTTTCTGCCTGTCATGGAACCTTCTCCTGGATGTGAGTGGCTGCAGGGGACGTGAGGGTACAGTTCAGAATCAGGCAACGGTCTGTGAGCTGAAGGCAGGGGAAGGGAATCTGGTGCTCTCTCTAGAAAGTCCTGCCTCTGTGGCTCCTGTCTTGGGCCAGGGACCATCCTGCTGGTGAGGAACACACACCTGAGTGCTCCCATCCTGCTTCCCCACATGGCCCTGAGCTCTCTGGCCTCTGCTTCGTGAGACTTACTTTTTTTGTTGGAGCACCAGCGATGAAGGAGAAAGAAGAGGAGGATGGTGAAAGGGATTTTGACCACTGAGGTCCCAATCAGAACATGCAGGTGTCTGGGGTTACCTGGAAGAAGAGGAGACACCAATAAGAAGCTAATCATAGCAGTTCCTCTTTATGAATTGTCTCGCATTTCTTGATTGGCAGGTAACCACATACAACGTCTCTTTAGGACAAGCACCCAAATGGCGGGAGACCTAGCTTTCCCCTGCTTTCTCAATTATAGCTCTCATAGTAACCATAGAACGTGCTGAGGATACAACTACTTTAGTTGAGATGTTTGACCCCTTCAAACCTCACATTGAAATTTCACCCCCATTGTGGGAGGTTGGGCCTCTTCAGAGGTGTTTGGGTCATGGAGGTGGATCCATCATGAACAGATCAATGCTGTCCCAAGGAGACGGGGTTAGCAAGTTCCCCCTCTGTTAGTTCCTGGACAGCTGGTTGTTAAAAAGAGCTTGGAAGCTCCATTGCTCCCTCTCCCCCTTACTCTCTCTCTTGCCGTGTGATCTCTGTGGTCTCTGCACAGACAGACCCTCCTTCCCTTCTGCCAGAGTGGGAGCAGCCTGAGGCCATCACGAGAAATAGATTCTGGTGCCATGCTTCCAGTACAGCCTGCAGAACTGTGAGGCAAACCGATCTCTTTTCTTTAGAAGTTACCGAGGCTCAAGTGTTCCTTCAGAGCAACAAAAAAAAAAACTAAGACAGCAACGACCTGAGATCAGGAGGAATGTCTCAGAACAGCCTGGGCTGTCTTCCTGTTCTTCCTGGAGGAAGGCGTCATGCAGTGCTTTAGCTGAGTGCTTCCTGTGGCTCCAGGGTACAAAACCCAGGCTGGGCTGCTTTCTGGCTTCCCCCAGCTACACTGCAAATGGGGTGACTCCATATGTCCCGAGCAGCTTTTCTGAGCCTTGAGGGACTGGCTCACATTGAAATGTAGGCTTCTGTTGTCACTCGCTGCTTATCTGTTAGTAATGAACCTGCCTGTGTAATGTATTCTCTGTGTGTTCTGTCTCCCTGGAGTGACGGTGAGTGATAGGAATTGGCATAGGCCCAGGTGCAGTCCAGGAGGTGTTTAGAGTCTTCTCTGGGAAGACTGCACTGGGATTGATACACAGCGACTGTGCTTTAGGATTTCTACATCCACGGCATTCTTGAGTCAAACAACTTGCATTCTCCAAGAAAAGGAAACAAAAGTGAAATCAAGATAAAAAAAGCGAAGTAGAATTCTCTTATGTCAAATGGCCAGGAAACAGTGTTGAAGCCCATGTGAAACGTGCTACTCTTTGTGATCTCAGGAGACACATGTTAGGTTGCTGTTCTACCCGAGAGGCTGGGGGAAGGACCACCCCCTCGGCCATCTATTGCTTCAATACCACCTGTCCTCCTGTGAATTAGTAGGAAAGGGGAGCAGGAGCTACTGCTGACGCTAATCTCTGATTCCAAGATCTGGACTCACTCCAAGGAGTATTAGAATTTACCTCCCCATGGCCTATCTGAATCTCCACAGATGATTGGAAGTAGGGGTGAGGTGGGGGATTTGGGTGAGAGGGCATGTTTTCTTGTGATGAACAGAGCACTTTGTGTATTCCAGGATCTGTGCTGGAGGATTCAGCGGGCTTTCACATTTTCTATATGATCTCATGCTCACAGAAAGCCAAATAGGGAAGAGGTTTTAGGCTCATTGCCTAATGGATAAGATAAAGGATCAAAGAAGTAATTATAGAGAAATAGAAAAATCATGATTGGAATTCAGGTCCCTTTCTCATTTGCATGTGTTATATTATATTTATATTTATGCATTTCTTATTTTTATTTTTTGAGACGGAGTCTCCTTGTGTCACCCAGGCTGGAGTGCAGTGATGCAATCTCCACTCACTGCAACCTCCACCTCCTGGGTTGAAGTCATTCTCCTGCTTCATCCTCCAGAGTAGGAGCTGGGATTACAGGGATGCACCACCATGCTCGGCTAATTTTTGTGTTTTTCCTAGAGACAGGGTTTCACCATGTTGGCCAGGCTGGTCTCGAACTGCTGACTTCATGTGATCCACCCGCCTTGGCCTCCTGCAGTGCTGGGTTACAGGCGTGAGCCACCGTTCACAGACTTGTATATTATGCTATAATAGGTCCCTTCATTTCCACCACCCCTCATATATCTGTCACTCCTTTGCCAGGTATTGATTTATGTGTAGTAGGAATAAAGCTCAGAAAGAAATTAAGCGAGGATTAGACAACTAGGAAAATCATACCCAGCAAGCCTTTCCAGCCAATGATTCCACCTCACAAGCATAGCTTATATCCATCTGCTTCACCCAGTTAGGGTCTAAATCAGCACCACATTTCACCAGTGGGGCGGGAATTGCCTTTTCCACAGTCTCCTAGATTCCAGTTATGCACCTGGGCCTCCCTTATTTTCATGTCAGTCACTATTAATCATGTAGGGATTCCTGGCTACCCCGAGGTGAATCCAATGGCTGTGAGTGTCAAACACACACTCCTTGTTGCTCCTTAGTTTCCTGTGTACCCAGTGTGCTCTCCGTCTCTCCACAGTCGTCTTGTCATTCTCCCCACCTCATTCCCAGCATTTGAGGCAGAGCCTCTTCCTTCCACATCAGATTGTTTTCAGCTTTCTGCCTTCACGGCTGACAGCTGTGTGTGGAAAATCCTTCCGCCAATCTTTCAGGGGTTCAATCCGTGTTTTTCATTAATGTCACAAATATCTGATTAGTGAGATCTTCTCTGTCACCCAAAATCATACACTCAGCATTATGTATTATTTATTTTAAATTCTGGCTGGGCACAGTGGCTCACGCCAGTTATCCCAGTACTTTAGGATGCTGAGACGGTCGGATCACTTGAGGTTGGGAGTTTCAGAGAAGCTTGGCGAAGATGGTGAAACATCCTCTACAAAAAATATACAAAAAGAATTAGCCGGGCATGGTGGCAGTTGCCTGTAATCCCAGCTACTTGAGAGGCTGACGCAGGAGAATCACTTGGATCCAGAAGGTGCAGGTTGCAGTGAGCCAAGATGGTGACACTGCACTGTAGCCTGGAAGACAGAGGGAGACTCTGTCTCAATAAACAAATGAAGAAACAAACAAATAGATTTCATACACAGATGCTTCCCAATGGATCATTCATTTATTGGTCCACTTGTGCATTCATTTTCTGCCCTCCCATTTAACCATCTGCAATATCAGTGTCCAAAGAGCAGAGGCCAAATGCATCTTGTTCACTGTTTGTGGAAGGCAGGAGAATGCTGTCCCACCCCAAAATGTCCCTGTCCTAGCCTCCATAGCTTGTGAATATCTTATTTTACATGGAAAGGAGGAATGAAGATTGCAGATGGAATTATGGTTGCTAATCAGCTGAACTTAAAACAAGGGTATCCTGAATGATTTCCGGGAGATTATGATGGATTTTCATCTTGGTGAACCCAATAGAATCCCCAAGTTTTCAAAAGATGAGGAAGAAGGGAGAGCAGCATTCAGAGAAAGAGGTGTGGTAAGGAAGAAGGGTCTGAGTGATGCCATGTGAGATGTGACCAGTCTTTGTGGGCTTTGAGGAAGGAGGAAGGGGACCAGGAGCGAAGGAATGTGGGAGCCTCTAGAAGCTGAGAAAAGTGAGAAGCAGATTCTTGCCTGGAATCCTCAGAGGGAAGGCAGCCTTGCTGTCACCTTGATTTTAGCCCAGTGAGATGCACTTCATACTTTGAGCTACAGCACTGTAAGATAATTAAAAAACCGTTTTGTTTTCACCCACGAATCTTGTGGAAATTTGTTATGGCAACAATAGGAAAAGCTTCCACAGTGCACAGCCTGAGCATGGGGCCGTGGCTGAATGAGTCAGTGAGTCGAAGTGTGCGTGCATGAGCTCTGTTCTCTGTTACAGCAAGGCTCTTTCTCTGCTGAGTCAGCCAGGGTTGCTTCATGACCTATAGGAGCTCATTCCTTGGCAAGTGGAACTTCTCTAAAACACCTCGCCCTCATCAGATGTTCCCTTCCCTTCCCTCTCTCAAGTCTCCAGGAATTTATCCTCCAGTTAGGAATGCAGGCAGAACAAACATTGCATTTTTCCTGAGAAGGATGTCAGATTGGCAATCATTCTTCTAGCTTGTAGGAAGTCTCAGCTCCATAAAATGAGAGATGAAGAGATTTCACTGAGCCCTGTGTTGGACCCAGATCCCTTTCGCTGTAGGAGTATCTGGAGTTCGGAGATGGTGGAAGACAGGGGTACAATGTCAGAGCTGTGAGATGCTGAGTCAACGCCTGAATCCAAGGTTTCCACCTCCCCAGGTTTCCAAAAGCGGATATAAGAGGGTTCTGTACTCACCGGTTTTGGAGCTTGGTTCAGTGGGTGAAGGCCAACTATTTGAAGGGTTTCCTAGAACATGAGACAGGAGAGAGGTGAGGAAATGAGGGTGTCTGTCCTCTACTCAGTGGAAATCTTTGAGGATGGTTCATGGCCAACACTCTGTTATCTAATATTGGGCCCTGGGAGTCCTGGGATCCTTTTTTCCATAATTTTTTTATGTGACGCCCACTGTCTTGAGACTTCAAGGTATAAAGAGAAAACAGGAGCATCACACTACCTGATCTCAAAATATGTTACAGAGCTGTAGTAAGCAAAACAGCATGACATTGGCATAAAGAAAGGGACATAGAACAACGGAGCAGAATGAATAACACAGATATATTCCATGCATTTACATCCAATGGTTTTTTATTTTTTCTTTTGAGATGGAGTCTTGCTCTGTCACTCAGGCTGGAGTGCAGAGGTGCAATCTCAGTTCACTGCAACCTCAGCCTCCTGGGTTCAATCATTCTCTTGCCTCAAACTCCTGAGTAGTGGTATTACAGGTGCTGACCACCATGCTCAGCTAATTTTTATATTTTTAGTGGAGACGATGTTTCATCACGTCGTCCAGACTGATCTTGAACTCCTGGCCTCAGGTAATCCACCCGCCTCGGCCTCCCAAAGTGCTGAAATTGCAGGTGTCAGCCACCAAGCCCAGCCCATCCAATGGACTTTGACAAAGGTGCCAAGAACTCACAATCAGGAAAGGACAGTCTTTTCAATAAACAGTGCAGGGAAACCTGGACATCGACATGCAGAGGAATGAAACTGCACCTCTACCTGTCACCATACACAAAAATCAAATGAAAATGGATTAAAGATGTGAGTCTAAGGCCTGAACCTATGAAACACGTAGAACAAAATATTGGGGAAATGCTCCAGGACATTTGTCTGAAGAAAGACATTTTGTTTTAAACCTTGAAAACACAAGTAATCGAAGCAAAAATAGACCATTGGGATTACCTCAAACTAAGCAACTTCTGCACTGCTAAAAATAAACCAACAAAGTGAAGAGACAACCCACAGATTGGGAGCAAATATGTGCAAACTATGCATCTGAGATGGGATTAATAACTAGAAATATAAGAAGCTCAAACAACTCAATAAAACAAATGATTTAATTGAAAAAGGAGCAGAAGACATGAAATTTCCCCACATACTAAAAAGTGCTCAGTATCACTCATCATCAGAGAAACGCAAATTAAAATCAAAGTGAGTTTTCATCTCACCCCATTAAAATGGCTTTTAGGCCGGGCGTGGTGGCTCACGTCTGTCATCCTAGAACTTTGAGAGCCTGAGGTGGGTGAATCTCATAAGGTCAGGAGTTTGAGACCAGTCTGACCCACATAGAGAAACACTGTCTCTACTAAAAATACAAAAATTAGTCGGGCGTGGTGGAGTGTGCCTGTAATTCCAGCTACTCGGGAGGCTGAGGCAGGAGAATCGCTTGAACCTGGGAGGTGGAGGTTGTGGTGAGCCGAGATAGCGCCACTGCACTCCTGCCTGGGTGAGAAGAGCAAAACTCCATTCAAAATAAAATGAAATAAAATAAAATGGCTTTTAGCTGCAAGACAGGCAAAAGAAATGCTGGCAAGGTGGTAGAGAAAGGAGAACCCTGGTACCCTGTTGGGAGGAGTGTAAATTAGTACAGCGATTACGGAGAAAAGTATGGAAGTCCTTTAAAGAACTAAAAAGAGGTTGGGTGTGGTGGATCAGGCCTGTAATCCCAGCACTTTGGGAGACTGAGGCGGGCATCTCAGTTGAGGTCATGAGTTTGAGAGCAGCCCAGCCAACATGGGGAAACCCCATCTATACTAAAAAAAACAAAAAGTAGCCAGGCATGGTGGCGTGCACCTGTAATCCCAGCTACTAGGGAGGCTGAGGCAGGAAAATCATTTGAACCCAGGAGGCAGAGGTTGCAATGAGCCAAGATGACATCACTTGTACTCCAGCCTGGGCACAGAGGGAAACTGTCTCAAAAACAAAAACAAAACAACAAACGAAAAACTAAAAAGAGAACTTTCATAGTATCCAGCAATTTCACTACTGGGTTTATATCCAAAGGAAAGTAAATCAATATATCGAAGTGATATCTGCACTCGTATGATTGGTGCAGCACTGTTCACAGTAGCCAAGATGTGGAGTCAACCTACCTGCCCATCAGTGGATGAATGGATAGAGAGAATGTAGTACATACGCACAGTGGAGACTACTCATCCATAGAAAGAATAACATCCTGATATTTGCAGCCACATGGATGGAACTGGAAGTCATTACAAAGATTCCCATTTCTCACCCATATACAGAGCTAAAAGGTGGATCTCATGAAGGTAGAGAGTAGAATGATGGCTTCCAGAGGCCAGGAAGAAAAGGGTGGAGGGTAAAAAAAAAAAAAATATATATATATATATAAATGTATTTATGACCACTAGACTTTACACTTAAAAATGGTAAATGTGGCTGGGCGTGGTGGCTCATGCCTGTAATCCCAGCACTTTGGGAGGCACATGCGGGTGGATCACGTGGTCAGGAGTTGGAGACCAGCTCGACCAACATGGTGAAACCACCTCTCTACTAAAAATACAAAAAGTAGCCTGGCGTGGTGGTGCGCGCCTGTAGCACCAGCTACTCAGGTGGCTGAGGCAAGAGAATCGCTTGAACCCAGGAGGCGGAAATTGCAGTGAGCTGAGATTGTGCCACTGCACTCCAGCATAGGGGACAGAGCTAGACTCTGCCTCAAAAAAAAAAAAAATGTTAAAGGTGGTAAGCTATATAGGTATATTTATCCTCAATAAATATTTCTTCAAACAAAAGTAAAGGGTGTAGGGGTTGCTGGTGATGACATCCCTGTGTGGGTGAGAGGCCAGGATGGGCTTCTGGGAAATGGATAATGTTGAGGGGCTGAGGGAACCTCTGATCTTCCCAAACTGAGCCCAGTCTCTCTCCTCTGGGTCTCTCCTGACCGTTTTCTCCATCTGCCTGTGTGCCTGGAGCCCTGGCCGCGGGCCTTCATGCAGGCCGTGTAGGAGGGTTTGGAGGTGCCCTGTCTGCCATCCTGTGCCCTGATCCCTCCCTCACACCCAAGCTTCGTCTTCTCTCTGCATCTGTCCATGCTTCTCTCCATCATCAGCAGGAAGCTCCTCAGCTAAGGCTCTAGGATCATAGGACATGAGACAGATATGGGGTTTCCTCACCTGTGACAGAAACAAGCAGTGGGTCACTCGAGTTTGACCACTCATAGGGAGAGTCACGGAAAGAGCCGAAGCATCTGTAGGTTCCTCCGTGGGTGGCAGGGCCCAGAGGAAAGTCGGCCTGGAATGTTCCGTTGACCTTGGGCCCTGCAGAGAACCTACGTTCATGGGCCTCCCCCTCCCTGGATAGATGGTACATGTCATAGGAGCTCCGGGAGCTGCAGGACAAGGTCACGCTCTCTCCTGCCAAAACCGTGGGGCCCGGCTGGGCTGAGAGAGAAGGTTTCTCATATAGACCTGGAAGGAGAAGAGGCATTTTCCTCAGGGAGGATCTTCCTTGTCACAGCTCCCTTCACCTGAGCTGAGAACTCACTCCCCTGCTCTATGACCTAATGCTCTCTCTCTCTCTCTCTCACCCTCCACCCCATCTCTCTTCATGTCTATTTCCTCCTTCCACCTTCTCTGTCTCTCTAGGTCTCTGACCTCGCTTCCCCACCTCTAGATATGTTTTCCCTTTTTGGATTCTTTTATTCTCTCTGACTCTCCTTGGATTGGTTGACTTGATGTTACTTTTTTAAATTCTAAGTTTCTCACGTTGTGTCCTGTTCATAACTTTCTGCATATTTCTATCTATTATCTGTCGATCTATCTATTTATCTATTCGGTGCCTATCTACAAATTCTCTACCTGTCATCTATATCTATATATCATCTATGTATCTATCAGTTGTCTATCTATCCATCAATCATCTGTTATTTATATGTATGTATCATCTCTCTCTCTATGATTTCTGTCTGCCTCTCTATCTGTACGTATTATCTATCTGTCTTCATCATCATCATCTCTATGTATTATCTATTAATGAATCAATCAATCATCATCTATGTATCTTTAACCTATTATCTATCATCTACCTATTTATCATCTATCTATATCTATCCATCTATCATCTGTCTTGCTCTGCCTCTCGGTCTCTCTAGTTCTCTTTGGAATCTCTGCAGTTCATCCCCACATCTCCATCTTTCTATGTCCTTGTGCCTCTCCCTCAGGACTCTAATTTTAGTGCTTTTCTCTGCTCCCTTCCATCATTCTCACCACTCCTCTGCCCTCTTTTCTCTCTCTTTATGTGTCAGTGAGTCTCTCAATCTCCTTCCTCTGGCCCATTCTCTGTGTGTTTATGTCTTTGCTTTTTGGTGTTCCTGATTTCTCTCTGTGCCTCTCAGTGATCCTTTCATATGTGGGGTTATTTGGAATGTGAGCCTCAGAATCCAGTCTGGAGACCACAAGTTCACACAGCATACAGGGGTTGGTGTTCTGGGGCCATGATATCCTGGGACGGTTACTCTCCATTACATGGAAGGCAGAGGTGTCAGAATAAACATGGCCTGTAGGTGCCACAAGGCCTGAGGCCACAGGGCCCAACTCAGGTCAGAAATATGGGTGTCCTTGGGTTCTCCTGGTAGAGAACACTTTGTGGAGGTAAAACAGAAATGAAACTTCTATCCTGTGCCAGGTCTGTGAGCAAAGTCAGCATGGAGGGACACCTCTCTCTGGGACATGTCTGTCTGTCTGTCTCCTTTAACTCTTTCTGTCTTTTCTAACTCCCTGTATGGCCCCTGTGTCTGTCCTCCGTTATGACACCTGGTCTGTACTTGTGTCTCCTGTTTCTCTGTCTCTGTTGGTACAAACCTCAGCAAGTCAGTCTCTCTCCATAAGAATACCAAGCTCATCTTCCTTACAACTACCTGGGGGTTCCAAGTCGTGGATCATTCACTCTGCAGCCCAATGACAATGAGAATGTCCGGACACTCTCACCTGTGATGACGATGTCCAGAGGGTCACTGGGAGCTGACAACTGATAGGGGGAGTGAGTAACAGAACCGTAGCATCTGTAGGTCCCTGCAAGGTCTTGCATCATGGGACCGATGGAGAAGTTGGCCTTGGAGACCCCATCATGGTGCTCTCCAATGAGGTGCAAAGTGTCCTTATACTTCCCCTCTCTGTGCAGAAGGAAGTGCTCAAACCTGACATCTGACCAACATTGCAGGATGACTGTCTCTTCTGATTTCACCAGGGGACCTGGGTGGGCCAGGAGGGAAGGTTTTCTGTGGACTCCTAAGAAGAGAGGTTGTGAGTTTAGAAGGTGTCTCTCTTTATCATCCCATCCATGGCACCTAGAATGAGTGAGGCTTCCCCTTGCTGGTGTCTGTCTCTCTCCTTCCTCTCTGTGTCTTCATGTTCTTTTCTGTGCCCATAACTCCTGGTGCAGGTCCTTCCATCTGTCTCCCTCCCTCTTCTCTGTCCCTCTGTCTCTAGTAGCCTCTGATTCCCTTCCCACTGGGCTTAGCCTCATCTCTTGGGGTGTTGTATCTATTTCACACTAACGTCTTTCCTGCTGTTTATGTGGGGGTGAAAGAGGAACCAGGATAGGCTGCACATCCAGGCTCTTATCAGCCTTGTTCAATCTCTTTTGGATGAATTGCAATCCTTGGCAGAAGGTATGAACTGATGAATAAGGCAGGCACCAGTGTCCACACACCCTGTTCCTGGTCGGGACTGGGAGCCACTCTTGCCATGCCTGTGCCTTCTCCATGGTGCCAGCTTCCATAGGCTGGCTCCTGGTGCTGGTTGGAGGAGTATCAACCCCTCCCTATGTGGATGGAGCCTGGTGGTGGCATCATCATCCCACCCTTGCTGATCTCAGGGTAGCCAACCTTCTCCTTGTTTGGTTTCTTTAATTAATTAATTAATTTTGGAGACAGAGTCTCACTCCTTCACCCAGGCTGGAGTGAAGTGGTGTGGTCTAGGCTCACTGCAACCTCTGTTTCCTGGGTTCAAGTGATTCTCCTGCCCTCAGCCTCCTGAGTCGCTAGGATTACATGCGCCTGCCACCATGCCTGGCTTTCCTTGGGTTGTTTCTTAACTTGTCCTTGACCTGGGTTCCAGTGTTGGTTTCCTGTTGCTGCTGTACAAAATTATCAGAAGCATGGAAGCAGGAGAGACCACACTGACACCTTCCAGTACTGGAGACAGAAATTGGACCCTATTTTTCCTGGGCTAAAATCAAGGCATCTGCAGGGCTTCGTTTCCTCTGGAGACTCTGGAGAATCAGTTCCTTGACTTTTCCAGCCTCTATAGGCCACCTGCATTCATGGCTCTTGGCCTTCCTCCACCTTCAAAGCTGGTGAAGACTTCCACTGGACTGCTCTAATCCCCACTCCCCTCTTCCTCCTCCTTTCATGTGCACCCTTGTGATTACACTGAGCCCAGTGGGACAGTCCAGGCTGTCTCCCCATGAGCTCCATCTTCCCCTTCAGTCCCTTCCCCTATAACATACATAGTCACAGACTCCAGGGATTAGAATGTAGTCATCACTGGGGACAATTATTCTTCCCACCACAGCACCCATTTCCCTGTATTCAATCCCCCTTTACCACAAATACAGTCAGGGCCTGCGTGATGGGACCCTCAAGGACATGCCCACCAGAAGCTCTGGGATTCAGGAGGTGGGACAAGGAGAATCCAAGACAGGAGCCCTCTGACCTATGACCACGATCACCAGGGGGTTGCTGGGTGCTGACCACCCACTGGGGGAGTGTGTGTGTGAACCCCGACATCTGTATGTCCCTGTTGTGCGGGGGTCACAGGGCCCATGAAAAGGCTGTTCCAGAATATTCTGTTGTAGAGCTCAGGGACAGGCACCCCACCTTCCTTGTACAGACTGAAGTTGTTAAACCCAAGATAAGAGTGACACCGAAGAATGACATGTCCTAGAGGCACCACAAGGCTGGGCCAGGCAGACAGCAAGGGCTTGTCCTGACCACCTTGGGGAGAAGGAGGCGCCGCCTTAGAGAGGAGGATGTGGAACTGCCCCTCCCTCCCTGTGCTCAGAAGATTCTCCTCGCTTTCCACGTTTCTATGGCTACTATCACACCTTGGTGCCCAGGGCTGAAGGAAGGACCCATCCCGCAAAGACATGGTGTCTCCCTACAACAAAAGCCTCAGCTGAGAACTTTGAGCAAGTGCTGAGTAAAGAGACTCCTACTAGATTTTAATACTGTAAGATTACTCACATAAAACAACACAGGGTAGACATGAGGTGGAGGGCATGTCCTTTGTGAGTGGATATCAGCGGATGCCTGAACGAAAATAAACAACTGAGCCCCCATCAGAGGATTTGGAATGTCAGGGCCATGGCTGTGGTTTCCCACCTCTTCTGGTAGAATGACAGCAGCCACACTGCAGCCCCTACCATCATGGAAACGCTGAAGTGTGTGAGTAACACCTTTGTCCTCAGAGGATCTGCTGTTCCTACCACTTCCCCACCACACACCCCAGCTTTGAGCACCCCAGTCTAACCCTGGTCCCCACAGAACTTGACTCTGCCAAGGGGTTGAGAGGCCAGGGAGGCAAGGTCAGAAATGTGGGCCGAGCACCCCAGGGTCCTCTCTTCCCAGTTTATGAGAGACTCCCTGACAGGACTTCCCTCCTGTTTCAGGAAAATCCTCTTATGTGGGGAGATGACAACCGAAGGTTTGGAGAAGGACTCACCCTCATGTGGCCAGGCCCCCTGCAGCAAGAAGAACCCTGGAAAGAAAGATCATGATGGACCATCCATCTGCAGGCAAACCAGGACTCCCTTGCTGCCCCCACTGGGCTGTGAGTCTTGGCAGCCAGGCCCTTCCTGGGCTGAAGTTAAACTCACCCTCAGTGCCTACCTGCACCCAAGAACAGGGCTGTCGGCTGTGCAGAGACCCAGTTTCCAGGCCCAGATCCCCACCACAAGCCCATATCTCCACTCCAGGCTGATATTTCCACCCTAGGCCCATATCTCCAATCCAGTCCCATATCTCTGCCCCAGGCCCAGATCTCCACCCTAAGCCCATATCTCCACTCCAGGCCCATATCACCTCTCCAGTCCCATATCTCCACACCCAGGCCCATATCTCCTTCCTAGGCCCATATCTCCACTCCAGGCCCAGATATCCACCTCTAGGCCCATAACTCCACTCCTGGCCCATATCTCCACTCCAGGCCCATATCTCTACTGCAGGCCCGTATCTCCACCTCCAGATCCATATCTCCACTCCAGGCCCATATCTCCACTCCAGGCCCATATCTCTACTGCAGGCCCATATCTCCATCTCCAGGCCCATATCTCCATCTCCAGGCCCATGTCTCCACTACAAGCCCATATCTCTACTGCAGGCCCATATCTCAACCTCCAGGCCCATATCTCCACTCCAGGCCCAGATCTCCACTTCTAGGCCCATCACTCCATCTCTAGGCCCATAACTCCACTTCCAGGCCTATATCTCCAACTCTGGGCCCCGATCTCCATCCCCGCACTCCCTCCCTCGATTCCCTTCCAGGACTCACCAACACACGCCATGCTGACGACCATGAGCGACATGGTGCTGTCTGTGCAGACAGGCGGCCGCGCCCCAGCTCAGCTCAGCAGCGCACAGGATGTTATTTGGCGCCCTGCCCATGCAGTTTACATGTTGACCACATCATGGGAGGGTGACGTACGCAGGCTCTTTCTACCTTGCATGAGGCCCAGTGGGTGCTCGCTCAAGAGCGGAACATGGCTTCCTGGAAATTGTTCTCACTAGAATTGACACCTTGCGTCCTTCACTACGACCAGACTCAAAAGACGTCTCAGATCCAACCTCTCATACACGAGATGATTGAATTCTGTGCTTACATTAAAGATTTTTGATGTATTTTTGTTTTTATCTGAGATTCAAACTCTTCTTCATATGTAATGTGCAAAATGTCTAACAGGTATTATTAACATTATCAGAGTAATTGTGACAAGAAGCCATTCTAATTTTCCTGCTTGAGTTTCTAGTACTAAACCAGAGGCATCAGAATAGCTTGAACCTGGGAGGCGGAGGTTGCAGTGAGCTGAGCTCAAGCCACTGAACTCCAGCTTGGGTGACAGAGGAAGAGTCTGTCTCAAGAAAAAAAAAAAGCAAACTAAATAACCTATAATAACAAATCAGAGGACTCAGGTTACCAAATTTTAAGGGGTTCTATAAGTTTATATAAAATGCAGCATCCTCATGAGAGGGGATACAGAGAACCACTGGACAGAAAACTGTGTCTAAAATACATCTGTGGATACACAGTCCCTTTATAGTTGACAAAGGCTGCCATGTAGTTTAAGGTGGAATAGAATATTTTCTCAACAAATAACACAGGACCATAGGGTTACACGTAGGAAAAAATAAATCTAAACTTATCCTCACACTATAAAAACACTTCTTATTTTTTATCTTGTTGTTGTAAATTTTTTATGCTTTATTTTTAAGATTGACAAATAAAAATTATATACCATGGTCCTTCACTATACCTGGGTGATTGGTTCCAGGATCCCCATTCAGATACCAAAATCTGCAGATGCTCAAGCCCCTTGCATGAAATGGCATAGTGAAGCTGGGCACCGTGGCTCACGCCCGTAATCCCAGCACTTTGGGAGGCTGAGCTGGGTAGATCACAAGGTCAGGAGTTCAAGACCAGCTGGTCCAACATTCTGAAACCCCGTCTCTACTAAAAATACACACACAAAAAAATTTATCTGTGCAGGGTGGCACGTGCCTGTAATCCTAGGGGAGGCTACTGAGGAGGCTGAGGGAAGAGAATCGCTTGAACCTGGAAGGCGGAGGTTGCAGTGAGTTGAGATCACGCCACTGCACTCCAGCCTGGGTGAGAGAGTGAGACTGTCTCAAAAAAAAAAATAGCATAGCAATTGCATAGAACCCATGCACATCCTCCTGTATACATGAAATCATCTCTTGATTACTTATAATTCCTGACACAGCCTACACGCCACTCAATTTGTGTCGATTCAACATAGTTTTTTGCTTTTTGAAACTTCGGGGATTTTTTTTCTCAAAATATTTTTGATTTATTGCTGATTCAATAAACATGTGTAAACCCCAGAGATATGGAGGAGTGACTGTCTATTTATAGTAGTATGAAAGATGATGTGTTGATACGTGTCCCTGTGGAGATGAGACTAACAAGGCCTATGACTCTACAAATGTTTCATCGTGGAATGACTCTGCCAGCTTTCCAGATCTGCAGAGAGTAAGAATATCACTTGTTCATCTGATTCACCATCCTTGGAACCTCCTATGTGCTGCATCTTTGGATGGAAACTGGAGTCTCAGAGACAATTCAGGCTCCACCCTGCTTCCAGAAGCTCAGAGTCCAGGGGTGAGAACCCAGCGGAGAACAGATGGGGTTATGTGGACGTGGTAATGATAACACCGGAAGCCTTAGGCAAGAAAAGAGTCCCATTGACGAAACCATGAGGGCAGACATGTTTACTTGAAGAATAGAAAACTACATTGAAATTATAAAAAAAATTTATAAGTTTTACTGCTGACAGAAGGCTGAAAGATACTCTGAGGAAAGGTGGAACAACATGAGGAAAGGTGGAATAGCATGTATCTAAGTGCCGTGTTAAGAGGGAGCCTCTTATATGTTTGGAATTGTGAGTTCCTCAGTGTGATCGCAGCCTCAAGTAGACTAGGAAGTAAGCCAGTTAGGTTGGAGAGGTGGGCAGGGGTCAAGTGAAATGGAGAATTGTGGGCTAAGCAAAGGAGTGTGTTTTCTCTCCAGCAGGCAGTGGGGACCTTAGACATTTGTAAGCAAGAGAGAGGCATGTTCAGATTCGTGGTGTGAGGAAGAGCGATGCCCTAAGATGCAGACTCACGCCTTCAGATTCCAGCTGCTGGTACATGGGAGCTGGCAACCCGGTTTTGAGACAGGGCTATTGTCTCCCTAGAAGATCCCATCAAGGCCTGACTGTGGTGCTGGTGGACAGAAGACAACTTTGGATCTGCGCTCAGCATTTGGAAGTTCCGTGTTACACGCTGGTATCTGTTGGGGGTGTCTTGGGCCTCTGAGAAGGGCGAGTGATTTTTCTCTGTGTGAAAACGCAGTGATTCAACTGTGCGTATGTCACCTCCTGAGGGTCTTGTTCATCAGAGTCCTGGAGGGAGGGAAATGCTGAGTGAGGGAGGGTGCTCACATTTTTCAGGACTCTTTGGGAATAAGACTAGCCATGAGGCTGGGCTGAGGAGCACCTACCTCCCTGTTCACTGTTCTGTTCCCTGCAGGCTCTTGGTCCATTACAACAGCATCTGTAGAAGACGGAAGTCGTCAAAACAGCTCGGAGGGCACTTCTGGGTCCTCATTTCATAAGCAGATACCAACATGCAGGGGGAGGCCATAGGTGCCTGAGGTCCCTCAGTTGCCAACAGCAGACTCAGACATTCTATCTCTCTGAGCTCAAGGACCCATCCCATGAATAGCTCTGAGTTCCCATCCCATTGATTCTGTCTCCCACTTTCTGCCTGTCATGGAACCTTCTCCTGGATGTGAGTGGCTGCAGGGGATGTGAGGATATGGTTCAGAATCAGGCAATGGTCTGTGAGCTGAAGGCAGGGGCAGGGAGTCTGGTGCTCTCTCTAGAAAGTCCTGCCTCTGTGGCTCCTGCCTTGGGTCAGGGACCATCCTGCCTGTAAGGAACACACACCTGAGTGCTCCCATCCTGCTTCCCCACATGGCCCTGAGCTCTCTGGCTTCTGCTTCGTGAGACTTACTCTTTTTGTTGGCACACCAGCGATGAAGGAGAAAGAAGAGGAGGATAGCAAAGGGGATGATGACCACTGAGGTCCCAATCAGAGCGTGCAGGTATCTGGAGTTACCTGGAGGAAGACAAGACACCAATAAGAAGCTAATCATAGCAGTTCCTCTATATGAATTGTCTCACATTTCTTGATTGACAGGTAACCACATACAACGTCTCTTTAGGACAAGCACCCAGATGGCGGGAGACCTAGCTTCCTCCTGCTTTCTCAGTTGTAGTAACCATAGAACGTGCTGAGGATACAACTGCTTTAGTTTAGATGTTTGACCACTTCAAACCTCACATTGAAATGTAACCCCCAGGGTGGGAGGTTGGGCCTCTTGGGAGGTGTTTGGGTCATGGAGGTGGATCCATCATGAACAGATCAATGCTGTCCCAAGGAGATGGGGTTAGCAAGTTCCCCCTCTATTAGTTCCTGGAGAGCTGGTTGTTAAAAAGAACTTGGAAGCTCCATCGCTCCCCCTCCCCCTTGCTCCCTCTCTTGCCGTGTGATCTCTGTGGTCTCTGCACAGATAGACCCTCCTTCCCTTCTGCCAGAGCGGGAGCAGCCTGAGGCCGTCACAAGAAATAGATGCTGGTGCCATGCTTCCAGTACAGCCTGCAGAACTGTGAGGCAAACACATTTCTTTTCTTTAGAAGTTACCCAGGCTCAAGTGTTCCTTTAGAGCAACAAAAATGGACTAAGACAGCAAAGTCCTGAGATCAGGAGGAACATCCCAGAACAGCCTGGGCTGTCTTCCTGTTCTTCCTGGAGGAGGACGTCATGCAGTGCTTTAGCTGAGTGCTTCCTGTGGCTCCAGGGTACAAAACCCAGGCTGGGCTGCTTTTTGATTTCCCCCAGATACACTGCATATGGGGTGACTCCACATGTCTCGAGCAGCTTTTCTGAGCCTTGAGGGACTGGCTCACATTGAAATGTAGGCTTCTGTTGTCACTCGCTGCTTATCTGTTAGTAATGAACCTGCCTGTGTAATGTGTTCTCTGTGTGTTCTGTCTCCCTGGAGTGACGGTGAGTGATAGGAATTGGTATAGGCCCAGGTACATTCCAGGAGGTGTTTAGAGTCTTCTCTGGGAAGACTGGATTGGGATTGATACACAGCGAATGTGCTTTACAGTTTCTACCACCACAACCCTCTTGACTCAAAAAAATTACATTCTCCAAGAAAAGAAAGAAAAAATGAAATCAAGATAAAAAAAGTGAAGTAGAACTGACTTAAATCAAACAGCCATGAAATAATGATGTAGCCCAGGAACAACATGCTACTTTTTGTGATCTGCTGAGACATATATTAGGCTGCTATTCCACCCGAGAAGCACGGGGAAGGACCGCCCTCTCCGTCGTTTATTGTTTCAATACAGCCTGTCCTTCTGTGAGTTAGTACGAAATGTGACCAGGGGCTAGTGCTGGCACTGGTCTCTGAGTCCAAGATCTGAGCTCACTCCAAAGAGTATTAGTGTTTACCTCCCCATGATCTATCTGTATCTCCATAGGTGATTGGAAGTAGAGATGAATTGGGGGATTTGGGTGAAGGGGCAAGTTTTATGCCATGAACAGAGCACGTTCTCTATTCCAGGACCTGTGCTGGTGGGTTCAGGAGGCTTTCACATTTTCCATATGATCCCAAGCTCACAGAAAGCCAAATAAGGAAGAGGTTTAACCTGATTGTTTAATGGATAAGATAAAGGGTCAAAGAATTAAACACAGAGAAATAGAAAAATGATGGTTGGTATCCAGTTGCCTTTGTAATTTCTGTGTGTCATAATTATGTATGTTTTATTTTTATTTTTTGAGACAGAGTCCCCCTGTGTCAGGCTGGAGTGCAGTGATGCGATCTCAGTTCAACCTCTGCCTCCAGGGTTGAAGCCATTCTTCTGCTTCAGCCTCCCCAGTCGCTGGGATTACAGGCAGGTGCCAATGCACCAGGCTAATTTTTGTATTTTTAGTACAGACGGGGTTTCACCATGTTGGCCAGGCTGGTCTCAAACTCCTACCCTTAAGTGATCTACCCGCCTTGGCCTCCCAAAGTGTTGGGTTACAGGTGTGAGCCCCCATCCACAGTCTTGTATATTATATTATACTAGGTCCCTTCATTTGCACCACCCCTCATGTGTCTATCGCTCCTCTGCCAGGTATTGATTTAGATGTAGAAAAAAAACACATCTCAGAAAGAAATTAATGAAACAAGGATTAAACTACTAGGAAAAATCAAACCCAGCAAGCCCTCCCTGCAAATGATTCTACCTCACAAGCATAGCTTATATCCATCTTTCATTCATTTAGTGTGTAAATCAACCCTACGTTTCACCAGTGGGGCGGGAATTGCCTTTTCCACGGTCTCCTAGATTCCAGTTACGCACCTGGGCCTCCCTTATTTTCATGTCGGTCACTGTTAATCAGGTAGGGATTCCTAGTTAGCTCTGAGTTGAATCCAAGGGCTGTGAGTATCAAAAACATGCTCCTTGTTCCTCCTTAGTTTCCTGTGTACCCAGTGTGCTCTCCATCTCTCTACAGTTGTCTTGTCATTCTCCCCATCTCATTCCCAGCATTTGAGGCAGAGCCTCTTCCTTGAACTAAGAATGTTTCCACCTTTGTGCCTTCACGGCTGAGAGCTCAGTGTGGAAAATCCTTCCGCCAATCTTCCAAGGGTTGAATCCATTTTTTCCATTAAGGTCACAAATATTATCTGATCAGTGAGACCTTCTCTGTCACCTGAAATTATATACTCAGCATTATCTATTACTTATTTTAAATCCTGGCTGGGCGCAGTAGCTCTCGCCTGTAATCTTTGCACTTAGGGACGCTAAGGCGGTGGGATCACTTGAGATTGGGAGTTTGAGACAGCCTGCACAACATGGTGAAACCTCATTTCTACTAAAAAATATACCAAAAAAATTAGCCGAGTGTGGTGGCGCACAGCTGTAATCCCAGCTACTCGGTAGGCTGAGGCAGGAGAATTGCATGAACCCAGGAGGCAGAGGTTGCAATGAGCTGAGATTGTGCTACTGCACTCCAGCCTGTGGAACAGAGAGAGACTCTACTCAAAAAAAAAAAAGAAAACAAAAAACACACACACACACAAAAAACCCCAGATTTGGTGCACAGATGCTTCCCAATGGATCATTCATTTATTGGTACCCTTGTGCATTCATTCTCTGCCCTCGCATTTACCCATCTGCAATATCAGCGTCCCAAGAGCAGAGGCCAAATGCATCCTGTTTACCATTTGTGGAAGGCAGGAGAATGCTGCCCCACCCCCAAAATGTCCCTGTCTTAGCCTCCATAGCTTGTGAATATGTTATTTTACAGGAAAGGAGGAATGAAGATTGCAGATGGCATTACGGTTGCTAATCAGCTGAACTTAAAAAGAGGGTACGCTGGATGATTTTAGGGAGATTGAGATGGATTATCTTGGTGACCCCAATAGAATCCCAAAGTCCTTAAAAGATGAGGAAGAAGGCAGAGCAGGATTCAGAGAAAAAGGTATGGGTAAAGAAGAAGAGTCTGAATGATGCCATGTGAGACGTGACCAGCCTTTGTGGGCTTTGAGGAAGGAGGAAGGAGGAAGGGGACCAGGGGCCCAGGAACGTGGGAGCCTCTAGGAGCTGGGAAACGTTAAGGAGCAGATTCTTGCTTGGAACCTTAAAAAGAAATCCAGCCTTACTGTCCCTTTGATATCAGCCCAGTGAAATGCAGTTCATACTTCTGAGTTACAGCACTGTGAGATAATTAAGAAAAACATGTTTTCATCCACGAAGCTTGTGGAAATTTGTTATGGCAACAATAGGAAAAGATTCCACACTGCACAGCCAGAGCATGGGGCATTGGCTGAACGAGTGAGTGAGTGGAAGTGTCGTGTGCATAAATAAGCTAAATTCTCTCTTACTGCACGTCTCTTGCTCTGCTGAGTCAACCAGGGTTGCATCTGGTACACTGCTGATACGAATGCAAATTAGTACAGCCATTACAGAGGAGAAGAGTATGGAAGTTCCTCAAAAAATAAAATGAGGTCGGGCACAGTGGTTCATGCCTGTAATCCCAGCACATTGGGAGGCCGAGGTGGGTAGGTCACTTGAGGTCAGGAGTTGAAGAGCAGCCTGGCCAATATAGCGAAACTCTGTCTCTACTAAAAATATAAAAATTAGCCGAGTGTGGTGGTGGGAGCCAGTAACCCAGCTACTTGGGAGGCTGAGGCTGGGGAATCTCTTGAATCCTGGAGGTGGAGGTTGCAGTGAGCCCAGATGGCACCACTGCACTCCAGCCTGGGCAACAAGAGTGAAACTGTCTAAAAAAAACAAAAACAAAAACAAAAACCATAAAACAAAATGTAAAAAGACACTTCCAGAGGATCTAGCAATTCCATGACTGGGTGTAAACCCAAAGGAAAGGACATCAGCGTATCGAAGTGACATCTGCACTCCCATGACTGTTCCAGCAGTGTTCACAGTAGCCAAGATGTGGATCAACCTACCTGCCCATCAGTGGGTGAATGGATGGAGAGAATGTGGTACACACACACAATAGGGACAACTCATCCATAGAAAGAGTAACATCCTGTCATTTACAGCCACATGAATGGAACTGGAGGTCATTACAAGTATTTCCATTTCTCACTCATATGCAGGAGCTAAAAGGTGGATCTCACAAAGGTAGAGAGTAGAATGGTGGCTACCAGAGGCCAGGAAGGGAAGGGTGGAGGGTAAAAAAAAAAGAATACTAATTAATTAATTAATTAATTTTGAGAGAGTGTCTCTCTCTGTTGCCCAGGCTGCAGTGCAGTGGCATGATCTCAGCTCACTGCAACCTCCGCCTCCTGCAATTAAGTGCAACTCCTGCCCAACCCTCCCAAGTAGCTGGGACTACAGGCATGTGCCACCATGCTCGGCTAATTATTATCATTATTATTATTATTTTGTATTTTTAGTACAGATGGATTTTCCCCATGTTGGCCAGGGTGGTCTTGAGCCCCTGATCTCAAATGATCCACCTGCCTTGGCCTCTCAAAGTGTTGGGATTACAACAGTGAGCCACCGTGCCCAGCCTATAAATGTATTTATGAACAGTAGACTTCACACTTAAAAATGGTAAAGGTGGTAAATTACATAGGTATATTTCACCTCAATAAATATTTCTTCAAACAAAAAGAAAAGGGTGTAGGCGTTGCTGGTGATGACATCTCTCTGTGGGTGACAGGCCAGGATGGGCTTCTGGGAAGTGGGTAAGGTTGAGGGGCTGAGAGAACCTCTGATCTCCCCAGGCAGAGCCCAGTCTCCCTCCTCTGGGTCTGTTCTGACCTCTTTCTCCATCTGCCTGGGTGCCTGGAACCCTGATCAAGGGCCTCCTTGCAGGCCATACAGGAGGGTTTGGAGGTGCCCTGTCTGCCATCCTGCCCCCTGACCCCGCCCTTACACCCATGCTGTGTGTTCTGTCTCGGCATCTGTCCATGCTTCTCTCCATCATCAGCAGGAAGCTCTCAGCTATGGCTCTAGGATCACAAGACATGGGACAGGCATGGTGTTTTCTCACCTGTGACAGAAACGGGCAGTGGGTCACTCGGGTCTGACCACGCGTGGGGCAGGGCACGGAAAGAGCCGAAGCATCTGTAGTTCCCTCCGTGGGTCACAGGGCCCAGAGGGAAGTTGGCCTGGAATGTTCCATTGACCCTCAGCACCGCAGTGAGCCTAAGTTCACCGGCCTCTGCCTCCCTGGATAGATGGTAAATGTCAAACAAGCTCCGGGAGCTGCAGGACAAGGTCACATTCTCTCCTGCCTGAACCGTGGGGCCCGGCTGGGCTGAGAGAGAAGGTTTCCCATATAGACCTGGAAGGAGAAGAGGTGGTTTCCTCAGGGAGGTTCTTCGTTGTCACAGCTCTCCTCACACCTGAGCTGAGAACTCACTCCCCTGCTCTATGACTTAATGCTCTCTTTCTCTCTCTCACCCTCCACCCCCATCTCTCTTCATGTCTATTTCCTCCTTCCACCTTCTCTGTCTCTCTAGGTCTCTGACCTCACTTCTCCATCCCTAGCTATGTTTTCTTTTTTTGTACCATTTTATTCTCTCTGACCCTCCTTGGACTGGTTGACTTGATCTTCCTCTTTCTTTAATTCTGAGTCTCTCACTTTCTGTCTTGCTCATAACTTTCTGCATATTTCTATCTACTATCTATTGATCGATCTATCATTTATCTATGTATGTATCTATCATCTATCATCATCTGTGTATCTATGACCTATCTCTCTGTTATCTATCATCTATCAATCAATGTATGTATGTATGCATCTATCCATCTATCATCATGTGTTTATCTTTCTATCTCTCTATATCTATTTATATATCATCTGTCTGTCTTTCTACTTGTCTATCTATATCATCTATCAGTCATTCATCATCTATTTGTCTATCACCTGTCTCTCTATTATCTATCATCTACCTTTTATCTTTCATCTATCTATATCTATCTATCCATCTATCATCTGTCTCTCTCCATCTCCTTGTCTTTCTCTGCCTCTCAGTCTCTCTAGTTCCCTTTTGGAGTCTCTGCAATCCATCCCCACATCTTTATCTTTCCCTGTCTTTGTGCCCCTCCCTCAGGGCTCTGATTTTAGGGCTTTTCTCTGCTTCCTTCCATCATACGCTCCACTTCTCTGCCCTCTTTTTCTATCTCTTTATGTGTCTGTGAGTCTCTCAATTCCCTTCTTCTGGCTCATTCTGTGTGTGTGTTCATGTCTTTGCTTTTTGATTTCCCTGATTTCACTCCGTGTCTCTCTGTGGGCTTTTGTTCTCAGTAATCCTATAACATGTGGTGCTATTTGAATATGAGCCTCAGAATCCAGTATGGGGACTCCAGGAACTCACAACATACAGGGGTTGGTGTTCTGCTCCCTCACCTGGGGCCATGGTGTCCTGCGACGACGACAGCTCCACTGCACGGAAGGCAGAGGTTTAAGAATAAACACAGCATCTGTAGGTGCCACCAGCCTGGGGCCACACGGCCCAACTCAGGCCAGATAGATGTGTCTCTTTGGGTTCTCCTGGGAGAGAACACTTTGTAGAGGTAAAACAGAATGGAACCTTCTAACCTGTGCCTGGTCTCTGAACAAAGTCAGCATAGAAGGACACCTCTCTCTGGGATATATCTGTCTCTCTGTGTCTTCTTTACCTCTTTATCTCTTTTTCTAACACCTTGTATGGCCCCTGTGTCTGGCTTCTATGTTATGACATGAGGTCTGTACTTGTGTCTCCTGTTTCTCTGCCTTTGTTGGTACAGACCTCACCAAGTCACTTTCTCTCCATAGGAACCCCACACTCATCTTCCTCATGACCACCTGGGGCTTCCAGTCCTAGATCATTCACTCCATCTCCCAGCAAGGGTGAGAGGCAGGTCTGTATTCTCTCACCTACGACCACGATGTCCAGAGGGTCACTGGGAGCCGACAACTCATAGGGTAAGTGAGTGACAGAACCAAAGCATCTGTAGGTCCCTGCAAGGGCAGGTGTCATGGGACCCATGGAATAGTTGACCTGGGAACCCGCATCGTGGAGCTGTCCAATGAGGCGCAAGGGGTCCTCAGTGATCCCCTCTCTGTGCAGAAGGAAGCGCTCAAACCTGACATCTGACCAACATTGCAGGATGACCGTCTCTCCCGATTTCACCAGGGGACCTGGGTGGGCCAGGAGGGAAGGTTTTCTGTGGACTCCTAAGAAGAGAGGTTGTGAGTTCAGAAGGCGTCTCCCTTTCTCATCCCATTCATGGGACCTGAAATAAGTGAGGCTTCCCCTCCATGGTGTCTATCTCTCTCCTTCCTCTCTGTGTCTCCGTGTTCTTTTGTGCCCATAACCCCTGTTGCAGGTCCCTCCATCTGTCTCCCTCCCTCTTCCCTGTCTCTCTGTCTCTAGTAGCCCTGATTCCCTTCCCACTGTGCTCAGTGTCACCTCTTATGCTGTTGTATCTGTTTCCCACTAATCTCTTTCCTGGTGTTTATGTGGGGGTGGAAGAGGAACCACGACAGGCTGCATGTCCAGGCTCTTAGCAGCCTGAATCAATCTCTTTTGGACAGATTGGAAAGGCTGGCAGGAGGTACGAACTCATCAGTAAGGCA
The DNA here is from genome assembly GCF_000001405.40 of Homo sapiens. NCBI lineage: Eukaryota > Metazoa > Chordata > Mammalia > Primates > Hominidae > Homo > Homo sapiens. Next base: position 175,441 of record NT_187640.1, read on the forward strand.
GGCATCAGTGTCCCTGTTCCTGATGGGGATTGGGAGCCTCTCCTGTCATGTCTGTGCCTTCTCCATGGCCCCAGCTTCCATAGGGTGGCCCCTGGTGCTGGTTCCAGGAGCATCAACCCCTCCCTATGTGGATCGAGCCTGGTGGTAGCATCAGTATCCCACCCATGCTAAAATCAGTGTAGCCAACCTTCTCCTTGTTTGGTTTCTTAACTTGTGCTTCACCTGGGTTCCTGTGTTGGTTTCCTGTTGCTGCTGGAGAAAATTGTCACAAACATGGGGCAGGAGAGAATACAATGACCCCTTCCACTTCTGGAGAACAGAAATCGGACCCAGTTCTCTCTGGGCTAAAATCAAGGCATCTACAGGGCTGTGTTTCCTCTGGAGACTCAGGGAAGAATCAGTTCCCTTGACTTCTCCAGCCCTTAGAGGCCAACTGCCTTTGTGGCTCATGGCCTTCCCCCATCTTCAAAGCCCGCTGTGGCTGATGGAGTCTCCCTCCCACGACGTTGCTCTAACCCCACTTTCCTCTTCCTCCTCCTCTCATGAGGACCCTTGTGATTACTCTGAGCACAGCAGGACAGTCCAGGCTGTCTCCCCATCGCAAGGTCAACCCATCAACAACCTGAGCTCCATCTTCCCCTTCAGTCCCCTGCCCTATGACATAAATAGTCACAGGGTTCATGGATTACCATGTAGCCATCACTGGGGACAATTATTCTTCCCACCACAGCAACTATTTCTCTGTACTGAATCCCCCTTTACCCCAAATACAGTCTGGGCCTGGATGATTGGACCCTGATGGACACCCCCACCAGAAGCTCTGGGATTCAGGAGGTGGGACAGTGAGAAGCCCAGACAGAAAGCCTCTGACCTGTGACCATGATCACCACAGGGTTGCTGGGTGCCGACCACCCAGTGGGGGAGTGTGGGTGTGAACTGCAACATCTGTAGGTCCCTGCATGTGCTGGGGTCACAGGGCCCATGAGAAAGCTGTTCCGGAATATTCTGTTGTAGAGCTCAGGGACAGGCATCCCGTCTTCTTTGGACAGACTGAATTCGTTAAACCCAAGACGAGAGCGACACTGAAGAGTCACATGTTGTCCTTCAGACACCACAGTGCCGGGCCAGGCAGAGAGGAAGGGCTTGTCCTGACCACCTGGGGGAGAAGGAGGCACTACCTTAGAGAGGAGGATGTGGAGCCGCCCCTCCCTCCCTGTGCTCAGAAGATTCTCCCATTTCCACGTTTCTAAGGCTCCTACCACACCTGGGTGCCCAGGGCTACAGGAAGGACCCATCCCGCATAGACATGGCGTCTCCCTACAGCAAGTGTCAGCTGAGAACTTTGAGCAGGTGCTGAAGAAGCGACTCTTACTAGATTTTAACACTGCAAAATTACTTACATAAAAGAACACAAGGTAGACACAGGATGGAGGGCATGATCAGCTAATGCATGAACCATAATAAACAACTGAGCCCCTATTAGAAGATCTGGAATGTCAGGGTCATGACTGTGGTTCCCCCACCTCTTAGGTAGAATGACAGCAGCCACATTGCAGCCCCTACCGTCATGGAAACGCTGGAGGGTGTGAGTTATGCTCTTGTCCTCAGAGGCCTGTTGTTCCTTGCACTGCTTCTCTCCCTTCCTCTGCCGGTGACACCACTTCCTCCCTGCACACCACTCCTTTGAGCACTTCAGTCTCCCCCTGGGTCCCCACAGACTCAGCCAAGGGAAAGAAAGGCCGGGGAGGGCTAGGACAGAACTGTGGCGAAGCTTCCCCTGGCTTCCTTTTCCTAGTTCATGAGAGATTCCCACATGGCTTCCCATGGTCAGCCCATCAGTCAACCCCCTGTGTCGCCTGCCTCCCGTTTCAGGAACATCATCTTATGTGGGGAGATGACAACCTAAGGTTTGGGGGAAGGACTCACCCACATGTGGCCAGGGCCCCTCCAGCAAGAAGAACCCTGGAAAGAAAGATCATGATGGATGATCCATCTGTACATCACCTCCAGGCCCATATCTCCACTCCAGGCCCATATCTCCACTTCCGTCCTATATCTCTACTCCAGGCCCATATCTCCACTCCAGGCCTATATCTCCACCTCTGTCCTATATCTCTACTCCAGGCCCATATCTACACTCCAGGCCCATATCTCCACCTCCAGGCCTGTATCTCCACCTCCAGGCCCGTGTCTCCATTCCAGGCCCATATCTGCACTCCAAGCCAACATCTCCACTCCAGGCCCATATCTCTACTCCAGGCCCATATCTACAGTTCCAGGCCCATATCTCCACCTCCAGGCCCATATCTCCACTCTAGGCCCATATCTCCACCTCCAGGCCCGTATCTCAATTCCAGGTCCATATCTGCACTCCAAGCCAATATCTCCACTCCAGGCCCATATCTACAGTTCCAGGCCCATATCTCTACTCCAGGCCCATATCTCTACTTCAGGCCCATATCTACAGTTCCAGGCCCATATCTCCACTCCAGGCCCATATCTCCACCCCAGGCCCATATCTCCACTCCAGGCCTATATCTCCACTCCAGGCCCATATCTCCACTCCAGGCCCATATCTCCACTCCAGGCCCAGATCTCCACCCCACCGCTCCCTCCCTCGATTCCCTTCCAGGACTCACCAACACACGCCATGCTGACGACCATGAGCGACATGGTGCTGCCGGTGCAGACAGGCGGCTGCGCCCCAGCTCAGTTCAGCAGCACACAGGATGTTGTGAGGGGCTCATGCAGTTTACATGCTGACCACATCATGGGAGGATGACGTATGCAGGCTATTTCTACCTTGCATGAGGCCCAGTGGCTGTTTGGTCAAGAGCAGAACATGGCTTCCTGGAAATTGTTCCAACTAGAATTGACACCTTGCATCCTTCACTATAACCAACTCAAAACACGTCTCAGATCCAATCTCTCATACAGGAGATGACTGAATGCTTGGCTTACATTAAAGACTTTTGATGTATTTTTGTTGTTTTTATCTGAGATTCAAACTCTTCTTCATGTGCTATTTTCCCCAGGCTGTTCTTTGACTTCAGAGTTCAAGCAATCCTCCTGCCCCAGCATTTCTAGCAGCTGGCAGTATGTCACAATCTGCCACACCCAAGTCACAACTTTTAGAACTTTTTTTTTTTTTGAGATGCAATCTCACTTCGTCACCCAGTTTGGAATGCAGTGGTGAGACCTCGGCTCATTGCAGCCTCCACCTCCCAGGTTCACGCAATTCTCGTGCCTCAGCCTCCTAAGTAGCTGGATTTACAGGCACCCACCACCACGCCCACCTAATTTTTGTACTTTTAGTAGAGAGGAGGTTTCTCCATGTTGGCCAGGCTGGTCTTGAACTCCTAACCTCAAGTGATCTGTCTACTTCAGCCTCCCAAAGTGCTGAGATTACAGGTGTGAGCCACCATGCCTGGCCGGGACATTCTATATGTGTGCGTATGTGTGCATTTATATACATATGGTTATACACACACACACACACACACACACACACCCTAAGCACTCACATATATAGTTGTTTCAAATTTTAAAAAATATAAATTTTGTATTTTTCTTTCTTTTTCTCACATTTGTGTTTCTATGACACCATATACATATTGAATTTTATAGCTCTATTTTATTCTTTTGGATTGCAGTTTAATAGTCCATGCATAACTTTATCAACATGTAATTATCCATTCTTTTTATCATGGACATTTGTGTTGTTTCCGGATTTTCTCTTTTATAACTCGGGCCTTGATAATCGTGTTTCTGTGTGATCCCTTGCATACATATGCTGAATTAATTAGACATATTTACCTAGAAATGAAATTATTGGTTTTGGGTGCAAGTTGGTGTTGAGCTTAACCAGGAAGTGCCAAAATATTTCCATCATGACCAAATGTGGCCTGGAAAGTTTTTTGGGGTCAATTTTCCTGTTTCTTCTAAGGAACAAAATTGATGTCACTGATTTTTCTGTCCTGTTTGTCATTTATGAATGTATGTACATATGCACGTATATATTTGCTTGCCATTTTATGTTTTTCCTCGACGTTACTTTGGAATTAATTTGCTGATGTGTAGTATTTCTGCAAGTGAAAGTTACCTATTTACTCAGCTCTTCCTTCTTTTCTAACACAGACATTTGAGGCTTATTGTCCCTTAACGCTGTTCTATCTGTATCCCCAGTCATTTGCCGAGATGTGTTTTCATTTTTAATTGATACAAAATATTTTCCACCTTTCTTTGAAATGTTTTTCTTCCACTCATTGTTTATTGCTATGTGTGTTTATTAATTTTAAAATATTTGATAATTTCCCCAGCATTTCCTTGTTGTACATTTATAATTTAATTCAACTGTTTCATCTATCATATTACCTATGATTCAGCATTTAAAAATTTATTTTGGTGAATGTTCCAGGGGTGCTAGACAAGTTTGTGGATTAGGAAGATTTGAGGTGGATGTTTTCTAAATGTCAGTTAAGAAAAAAATCATTCAAATGTTTTTCTTTATTTAAAAAAAATAGAGACGGGGTCTCACTATGGTGCCCAGGCTGGTCTCAAACTCCTGGCCTCAAGTGATCCTCCCATTTTGGCCTCCCAAAGTGCTAGGATTATTGAAATTATTAAATGTTTCATATCAACACCCAACCTTATGCACCCGCCGCCTACACAAATGTTTTTCAAGTCTTTCATATGCTTAATAATTTTCTGTGTACTTGTTCTGGAAGTGAGGTGAATGTTGCTATCTCTAGCTGCAATTTGGATGTGATTGATTATGTTTTGAATTATGCCTTTAATTTAATGTGTTTTGAGGTTCCAGCTTTAAGTGTGTAGGCATTTAGGATGATTATGTCTTATTTATGAATTTGCCTCTTTGTCATTATGAAGTACTCCTCTTCATATCTCCATATATCTCTTCTTTGTATGTGCATGGTGAAATATTTCATTCTTTGAGTTAAGAAACTTCTATTGAGGAATACTTTTTATTACAAACATTTACCTATTCTATGTATACAACTGACTAGAAGCATATTTTGCACTGGGCATTATCATGACAAGGTAATGTCATTCTTTCAATATTTACATCTTGTGGATTAGTATTTGAAGTGCAGCTTATGTAGACAGCATAAGGTTGGGTGTTGATATGAAACATTTAATAATTGCACACGTATTTGCCTCTTGGGATACTTCCACTTTTTTGAATTTCAAGTTACTAAATGGTATCATTAATCTTTGCTTCAAGAGCTTAACATTTATTGTAGAACAATGCTTCATGTAATAAATTGTGAGACATTTTTAATGGCACCTTTATTGCAGGAAAATGTTTTCCTTTTCAGGTTGAAAGATTCTAGTTTGAAATATTTTCTTGTAGCACTTTAAAAATGTTGGTCCACCTATTTCTTACTTTCATAGTTTTGAATACAAAGTTTGCTGTCATTCTTGTATTTCTTCTTCTGTTTTTTATTTATTTATTTTTGACAGAATATCTTGCCGTCTCACCCAGGCTGGAGTGCAGTGGCATGATCTTGGCTCACTGCAACCTCTGCCTTCCAGGTTTCAGCAATTCCTGCCTCAGCCTCCTGAGTAGCTGGGACTACAGGCATGCGCCACCATACCCAGCCAATTTTTTTTTTTGTATTTTTTTTTTGTAGAGATGAAGTTTTGCCATATTGGCCAGAACTCCTGACCTCAAATGATCCACCTGCTTTGGCCTCCCAAAGTGCTGGGATTACAGGTGTGAGCCACTGTGCTCAGGCTATTTATTCCTTTTTATATAATATGAATTCACATTCATACATACCAGGGGTTAGGATTTCAACAAACGTTTCTGGGGGAGACCACTCAAAACACAGCACTCATCCTTGGTTATTTCCAGCCATGGAGCCTGTATCAATATCCTGGTGAATTATCTAAGCTGTCCACCTACCTACCCCAAATCCTCATGGTCACATAAAAGGCTAGTATAGTATAATAATTTTTCTTTCCCTGCTTATCTACAGTGATGAAGAAACGAATATTCAAAGGGAAAAATCTTAGCTTTAGGTATAGGGTAATTCTTCTTCCTATTTTTAAATAACTTCAACCTTTACTGTAGATTAAAGGTATGCATGCAGGTTTGTTACATAGGCATATTGTGTGACTCTGAGGTTTGTGGTTCCAACAATGCCATCACCCAGGCAATGAGCATAGAATCCAACAGGTGTTTCTTCAGCCTATACCTCCCTACTCCTCCCCCCATCTGTAGTCCTCGGTATCTGTTGTTTCCATCTTTATGTTCATGTGTATTCAATGTTTGGTTCTCAGTTATAAGTGATAACATGTGGTATTTGGTTTTCTGTTCCTGGGTTAGTTCACTTAGGAGATTGACCTCCTGCTACATTCATGTTGCTGCAAAGGACATGATTTCATTATTTTTTATGGCCATGTAATGTTCCATGTGTATATGTAGCACATTTTCTTTAACTAATCCACTGTTGGTGAGCACTTAGGTTGACTGCAAATCTTTGCTATTCTGAATTGCACAGCAATGAATATACTAGTGCATGTGTCTTTTTGACATAGTTAATTACCTTCCTTTTGGTATATACCCAGTAGTGGGATTGCTTGATTGAATAGTAGTTCTATTTTAAGTTATTTGAGAAGTCTCCAAACTGCTTATCACATTGGCTGAACTAGTTAACATTCCCACCAAGAGTGTATAAGTGTTCCCTTTTCTCCACAATCTTGTCAGCATCTGTTATTAAAAAAAACAAAAAACTTTTTAGTAATTGCTTCTGCTTCTCTGATTGTTGTGAGATGGTATCTCACTGTGGTTTTAATTTGCATTTCTCTGATGATTACTGATAATAAGCATTTGTTCATATGTTTTTTGGCCATGTGTACATCTTCTTTTGAGAAGTGTCTGTTCATGTCATACTTAATTGAGGTTTTTTGGTTTTCTGCTTGTTGATTTGTTTACATTCCTTATAGATTCTGGATATTAGAACTTTGTCAGATGCATAGTTTGCAAATATTTTCTCCCAGTCTGTAGGTTATCTGTTTACTCTGTTGATACTTTCGTTTGCTGTGCAGAAGCTCTTCAGTTGAGTTAGGTCCCAATTTCTGTCTTTGTCACAATTGGTTTTGGGGAGTTAGCCATAAATTCTTTGCCAAAGTCTATCTTGAGAAGGATATTTCCTAGGTTTTCTTCTAGAATTTTAATATTTTGAGGTTTTACATTTAAATCTTTAAACTATCTTGGGTTAATTTTTGTATATAGTGAGAGTTAGGGGTCCAGTTCTATTATTTTGCATATGAGTAGTCAGTTATCCCAGAACTATTTATTGAAGAAAGGGTACTTTCCACATTGCTTGTTTTTGTCAATTTTTTCAAAGATGATTGTAGGTATGTAGCCTCATTTCTGGGTTCTCTATTCTGTCTCATTGGTCTATGTGTCTGTTTTTGTAGTAGTATCATGCTGTTTGGGTTACTATAGCATTGTAGTATAGTTTGAAGTTGGGTAATGTGATGCCTGGGCTTTGTTCTTTGTGCTTAGGATTCCTATGTGTATTCAGGCTCTTTTTTTGGTGCCAAATACATTTTAGAATAAATTTTTATAATTTCGTGAAAAATGACATTGCATTTTGAAATGGATAGCATTGAGTCTGCAATTTGTTTTTGGAAGTATGGCGATTTTAACTATTTGTTCTCCTAATTCATGAGCATGGAATATTCTTCCATTTGTTTGTATCATTTCTTATTTCTTTCAGAAGTGTTTTGTAGTTCTCCTTGTAGAGAATTTTCACCTTCTTGGTTAGATGGATTCCTAGGTATTTTATTTTCTTTGTGGCTAGTGTAAATGGAATTGTGTTCTTGATTTAGTTCTCAGCTAGAATGTTAGTGGTGCATAGAAATGTTACTAATTTGTGTACATTTTTTTAATCCCGAAACTTTATTGAATTTGTTTATCAGTTTCAGGAGCCTTCTGACAGAGTCTTTAGGGTTTTCTATGTATAAAATTATTTCATCAGCAAAGAGAGACAGTATCACTACTTCTTTTCCAATTTTAATGCCTTTTATTTCCTTCTCTTGCCTGATTGCTTTGGCTAGGACTTCCAGTACCATGTTGAATTAAAATGGCGGGAGTGGTCATCCTGGTCTTGTTTCGGTTCTCAAGGGGTATGGTTCCAGCTTTTGCCCATCAATATGATGTTGGCTGTGGGTTTGTCATAGATGGCTCTTAATATTTTGAGGTATGTTCCTTTGATGCCTATTGACAGTTTTTATCATGAAGGGATGTTGGATTTTACAGAAAGCTTTTTCTGCATCTATTGAGATGATCATATAGTTTTTGTTTTTAATTATGTTTATGAGGTGAATCACATTCGTTGACTTTGTAGGTTGAACCAACCTTGCATCCCAAAAATAAAGCTTACTTGATCATGTGAATTAACTTTTGATGCACTGACAGATTCAATTTGCTAGCATTTTGTTGAGGATTTTATGTCTATGTTCATTAAGGATATTTAGTTGTAGTTTTCTTTTTTTCATTATGTCTCTGACAGATGTTGGTATCATGGTGATGATGGCTTCATAGAATGAGTTAGGAAGAAGCCCCCACTCCTTGATTTTTTCCAAAAGTTTCAGTAAGATCGGTATCAGTTCTTCTTTGTATGGCTGTTGGATTTTGGCTGTGAATCCATCTGGTCCTGGGCTATTTTTAGTTAGTAGGGTTTTTATTACTGATTAAATTTCTGAACTTGTTATTGGTCTGTTCAGGTTTTCACTTTCTTCCTGGTTGAAATATGATAAATTTTGTGTTACCAGGAATTTATCCATTTCTTCTAGGTTTTCTAGCTTGTTTGTATAGAGGTGTTCATAATAGTCTTTGACGATCTTTTCTATTTCTGTGGGATTGTTCGTAACATTGTTTTGTCAGTTCTATTTGTGTTTATTTGGATCTTTTCTCTTTTTCTTTGTTAATCTAGCTAACAGTCTATGAATTTTGTTTATTTTTTTTCAAAGAAAAACTCTTGGTTTTATTTATCTCTTGTATGGACTTTTTGGTCTCAATTTATTCAGTTCTCTCTGACTTTAGTTATTTCTCATCTTTTGCTGGCCTTGGGTTTGGACTGTTCCTTTTTTTTAATAGTTCCTCTAGATGCAGTGTTAAGTCACTAATTTGAGATCTTTCTAAACTTCTGATGAGGCATGTATTGCTATAAATTTTCCTCTTATCACTGCTTTAACTGCATCCCAAAGGTTTTGGTAAGTTTGTTTCTATTTTTATTAATTTTAAATAATGTTTTGTGATTTCTGCTTTAATTTCATTGTTCACCCAAGAGTTCTCAAGGGGTACAGTTCCAGCTTTTGACCATTCAATATGATGTTGGCTGTGGATTTGTCATAGATGGCTCTTAATATTCATTCAGAAACAAGTTGTTAAATTTCCATGTTTTTCTGTAGTTTTGAGAGATCATCTTGGTATTTTTTTCTATTTTTATTGTGTGCCTTGTTATGATTTTGATTCTTTGAATTTATTGAGACTTGCTTTGTGGCCAGTCTTAGAATATGATATGTTTTTTGTGTGTGCAGATAAGAAGAATCTATATTCTGCAGTTGTTGGGTGGAGTACTCTGTAGATGTCTATGAGGTCCAATTGGTCAAGTGTTGTCTTTAAGACCAGAATTTCTTTGTTAGTTTTCTGTTTTAGTGATTCATCTGACGTTGTTAGTGGGATACTGAAGTCCCTTACTATTATTGTGTGGCTGTCTAACTCTTTTCATAGGTGAAGAATAACTTGTTTTATGAATCGGGGTGCTCCAAATTTGGGTGCATATATATTTAGAATAGTTAAGTCTTCTGTCAAATTGAACCCTTTATCATTTTGTAATGCCCTTCTTTGTCCTTCCTGATTGCTGTTGATTTAAAGTGTGTTTCATGTGATATAAGAATAGGAATGCCTTCCTTTTTTTTGTTTCCTGGTTGCCTAGTAAATATTTCTTCATCCTTTTACTTTGAGCCTGTGGGTGTCATTACATGTGAGATGGGTCTCTTGAAGACAGCAGGCAGTTGGCTCTTGGCTTTTTATCCACGTTGCCACTCTATGCCTTTTATGTGGGGAATTTAGGCCATTTACATTTCTTCTCCTGATATATCCTTTTTATATTTTTATGATTGCCTTTTAAAATATATTGAATGGTTGTAATTCCAGGGAAATGTCTTTCAGAACAGTATTTATTCCCATCTACATGTTTTGGAGAGTGCACTAGGGGACATTGAAGTTTATTTCCTGAAAAGAGTTTAATTTTAAAATGTATTTTATTTAATAACTCAATGATTCAGGGAATGTCTAGGTATTTCAGAGATTGTTTTAGACAGTTTGTTTTCTTGTGATATGTGACCACTTCATCTAAGCTGAATAATGTCTTCATAATGTCCACTTAGAATCTTTTGAATTCTGTAGGATCTGTACTGATGTCATTGTTTCCTTTCTGATATTGGTAATTTTCCTGGGGTAGGATTCTTAGCTCCTCCTGAGGTCCTGCCTCTAAAATTCAGGGAACAATGAGTCAGATTAGTACTCTGATTTCAAAGGGAAAGCTGATCATCTACCATTTTTTGTTTATGTAAATGGACACATTAACATCCCTTGTCTGAACCTTAGTTACCTTGTTTGGAGCATTTTGCTATAAATCTCACTTCTCAGAGTGGTTGTGGGGCTTGATGTGGCTGGGGTATGGGATGGCTTAAACATAATTTATTTCCAGACCAGGTTAAGGCATGAAGGGGTTGGGACTTGTTAGAATCCTGTTGTCGGACTCCACAGTAAGGGTAGACATTTGAGGCACCCAATCAAAAACCTCAGTTGTTCCTAGCACTGAGAAATTTGATAGAATGTTTCTAAAACATTATTCATGGTCTAATGCACAAAAAGTAAAGTGATAGCCCTGGAAGTAGACAGGGAACCATAAGAAAAAAGAGAGAGCAAAGCTCAGTGGTCACCAGTGCCTGGGACCATCAAGGGGTTATTAAGGAGGAAGTTTCCACCTCTGTGGGGAACAGAAGAGGCTCCCTAGGGTCCACACACACAGGGAGTGAGCCAAGACTCTGGGCGAGGCTGGAAGCTCTGGGTCTCCTTCTGTGAGATTTTCTTTTTTTTTTTTGAGATGGAGTCTTGCTCTGCCACCCAGGCTAGAGTGCAACGGCGCGATCTCGGCTCATGGCAACCTCTGCATAAAGTGGTATGTATTTAAGGCATGCATTAGACAAATTACTAAGTATTTACTAGATAAGAAAAAATTATATCTGAATCTTTTCAAATTGCCGTCTTATGCATTATATTCTCTTTTTATAGTGCAATTTCTTAATAGTTAATGCCAGAAGATTTTTTTTTCTTCCTTTCTTTCTTTCTTTTTTTTTTTTTTTTGAGACAGAGTCTCACTCTGTTGCCAGGCTGGAGTGCAGTGGCACGATCTCGGCTCACTGCAACCTCCGTCTCTCGGGTTCATGCCATTCTCCCGCCTCAGCCTCCTGAGAAGCTGGGACTACAGGCACCCTCTACCATGCCCAGCTATTTTTTTTTTTTTTTTTGTATTTTTAGTAGAGACGGGGTTTCACCATGTTCGCCAGGATGATCTCTGTCTCTTGAACTCGTGATCCACCTGCCTTGGCTTCCCAAAGTGCTGGGATTACAGGCATGAGCCACTGCACCTGGTCGCCAAAAGATATTTTTAAAAACCTAAATGCCACTTGAAATGAATAAGACCCTCAATAATTCATGGGATATACATGTGAACTTATGACATATGATGAAATAAGCAGGTTACAAAATTGTAATATATCAAGCAAGGTAGAAAGCCATGGCAGAAAAAGAGACAAGCATTTTCAAGATAAGGAATGAAAGAGGGGAAACAGTACTATTGATTTTACAGATTTTACAAAGATATCTTAGGTGTGTTTTCCTAAATAATAAATGTACCCTCCTTTTGACCTTTATGTAATGAAATAACCATGCACACATTTTCAAATAATACTTCATTTACTTGACTTTATGCTTGAAAATTGAAGTATGGTGCTGTTTGTTATTTTCATTTATGCATTTTACTACCTTGTAATATTCCACTGAGTCTATTTACCACACTATGTTTATTTTTTTCGTAGGTGGACTTTGGTATTTTATAGCTTTGGCTAATAGGAACAGCATTCCTATAACAGTTGTGAGTGTATCATGACACATAAGTAGACATTTATCTCTAGGGTACATAATTAAGTACATAATTAAGAAGGGTCACAGCCATGTGCCTCCTCTTTTTAACTAGATAATTCCAATACACTTCCTTAATTGATTAAAGCAATTTGTACTCTTACTATTAATGTACTAAAATTCTACATGTTCAATATTCTTTCCAAAAAATGATTTTGCTACTTTTTTCTTTTCTTGAGACTGAGTCTTGCTCTATCACCCAGGCTGTAGTGATCTCGGCTCACTGCAACCTCCGCCTCCTGGGTTCATGCGATTCTCGTGCCTTGGCCTCCCAAGTAGCTGGGATTACAGGCAGGCGCCACCATGTCTGGCTAATTTTTGTATTTTTAGTAGAGACAGCGTTTCACCATGTTGGCCAGGCTGGTCTCGAACTCCTGACCTCAGGTGATCCTCCTGCCTCGGCCTCCCAAAGTGTTGGGATTACAGGCATGAGCCACCACACCCGGCCTATTTTTTTCTTTTCCCTCCATTGTGCTATGATTTTTGACATTACAATTTTACTGAAACTACACCATAAGAATGAAGCAGAAATTATTATAACCTTTAAATAAACTTTACAACTGGTTCATACTCGTGTGAACGACAATTCTTTTGACTACTTCCCAACTGTGCATTCAATGGCGTCATATGGGCACCCTGAAGTTGGCCATAAAGGACGTATTTATACCACACTAATCAGCAAATACCATAAATCTGGGGCTTTATATGTTCAGAGTTTTCTTAAGAAAATAATTTTTTCAGAGAGCCAGTTTAACAGAATACCATGAGGCTGAGCCTTCGAGCGTTAGTGTGCTCATTCTGAGAGATGATATTTCTGGACAAAGTACACAGGTATCATCCGATGAAGAGTGAAGGGAATTCAGGGTCCAGAGAGGGTGCTAGGGCATCATTTCAGACTCATATTTCCCTTTTTTTTTTTTTTTTTGGAGATGGAGTCTTGCTCTGTTGCCCAGGCTGGAGTGCAGTGGCAAGATCTTGGCTCACTGCAACCTCCGCCTCCCGGGTTCAAGCTATTCTCCCGCCTCAGCTTCCTGAGCAGCTGGGATTACAGGTGCTCACTGCCACACCCAGCTAATTTTTGTATCTTTTAGTAGAGACAGGGTTTCACCATGTTGGCCAGGTTGGTCTCGAACTTCTGACCTCAAGTGATCCGCCCACCTCAGCCTCCCAAAGTGCTGGGATTACAGGTGTGAGCCACTGTGCCTGGCCTCAGACTCATGTTTCAAAGTCCCAAATACAAATCTGCCCACCTATTCCAGTTATTTAATCCAGATCTATGCTCAGAACTGAAAAGATGGAGAATCAATAGTTCACTTTAGAGAATGCGGTAGTTGGAAACAAAGACAAATGTATTACATGACAGTGGACCAGAGCACGTGATCGCAGGGGTGTGGATGCAAACCCACCATGGGGGACGTGCCTTCACATCACAGAGAGCGAAAGGAAGGGAGGGGCAGACACGGAGGATCCACAACAGCAGGACTGAAAGCACTGCCATTTAATGGAAGTTTAATGGAGGAAGCGTTCTCTACAGGCACCCAGACATCTTCCTGAACCTGACCCAAGCCTCCCCTTCTCGACTTTCTCAGTAGACGGTTTCCCGAATGATGGTCCAGACTTTCTTCCAGAACCTCCTAGGACTATCAGATTCATTGCCAAGGCTCTGGCACTCTGAAGGGTGCATTGTTCTCTCATGTATTTACCTCCTTGCTGCATCTTGGGGACTTCTCTAGCTGTGCCAGTCCTAAAGCAGCAGAATCCCGAGGACCACCAGGACCAAGCCAGCCACAGCCACGCGGATGAGATTCTCCACTGTGTAATCCTGGGGGTGTGAGGCTGGGGATGGTGGACCAAGAGGTCTCAGAGGTCAGGGCAGATCAACATCACCCGGGACCCCTGGATGTCCACCCAGGGCACCCACCTCCCCTTCACAGGACCTGACCCTCTGTGCCAGCCCCATAACCGAGAGCATCTCCTTACACACCAGTCTTGGAGTCTGTCTTGTTTTGCGATGGGCTGAGGGTCTCAGCTGCTCCTGAGAATCAACCAAAAAAGGGGGAGGTGTGTGAGGAGTTGAAGAGACTTAAGCCAACATGTCCCTCAGTTGCTGCATTCCTTTGTGTCTACACTTCTCCTAACTGCTCTGTAGTTGTGTGATAGAACCTTTCCCTGCCGTGGCAGAGGTACATTCGCATACATACATACATATATGCATAGGTGTAAATATGTGTGTATACATAATATGTGTTATGCATATGTGTATACATAATATGTATTATGCATATGTGTATAGATAATATGTATTATGCATATGTGTATGCATAATATGTATTATAAGATATAGTGTGAGTATATATAAATATATAATATATAAGATATATAATAGTGTGTGTATACATATAAATATATAATAAGATATGTAATAGTGTGTGCATATATAAATATATAATATATAATAAGATATATAATAGTGTGTATATATAAATATATAATACATAATATATTATAAGATATATAATAGTATGTATATATAAATATATAATACATAATATATAAGATATATAATAGTGTGTGTATATATAAATATATAATACATTATATATTATAAGATATATAATAGTATATATAAATATATAGTACATAATATATAATAAGATATATAATAGTGTGTGTATACATATAAATATATAATAAGATATGTAATAGTGTGTGCATATATAAATATATAATATATAATAAGATATATAATAGTGTATATATATAAATATATAATACATAATATATTATAAGATATATAATAGTATGTATATATAAATATATAATACATAATATATAAGATATATAATAGTGTGTGTATATATAAATATATAATACATTATATATTATAAGATATATAATAGTATATATAAATATATAGTACATAATATATAATAAGATATATAATAGTGTGTGTATACATATAAATATATAATAAGATATGTAATAGTGTGTGCATATATAAATATATAATATATAATAAGATATATAATAGTGTATATATATAAATATATAATACATAATATATTATAAGATATATAATAGTATGTATATATAAATATATAATACATAATATATAAGATATATAATAGTGTGTGTATATATAAATATATAATACATTATATATTATAAGATATATAATAGTATATATAAATATATAATACATAATATATAATAAGATATATAATAGTGTGTGTATATATAAATATATAATACATAATATATATTATAAGATATAATAATGTGTGGGTAATATAAATATATAATACATAATATATAAGATATATAATAGTGCATATATAAATATATAATACATAATATATATTATAAGATATAATAATGTGTGGGTATATATAAATATATAATACATAATATATATTATAAGATATAATAATGTGTGGGTATATATAAATATATAATACATAATATATAAGATATATAATAGTGTATATATAAATATATAATACATAATATATATTATAAGATATATAATAGTGTGTGAGTATATATAAACACATACATATATATTTGAAGTGAGAAGAGTATTATATAATTTAGAAACAAACAAGTTTGTCCTCCATTTTCTTGTGGTTAATGTAATTATTATCAATAAATCAGAAGAGATCATTTCGGAAAGGATTGAAAGGGAGTGTGTCTGTGGTAAGTTAATAGGAACTAAAATTAGCATACCCAAACCAATAGCTTTCTCATCCATACGTAACTAATTTTAGAAAATAGAAAGGAATCAAAGACTTTCAAATTATTCAAGTAGTAAAACAATGCTTAAAATTCACAATGTCCACAATTTTTATGAATACAACTTCAAGCATCTGCTAACTGTATAAAGTTTAATTTTAAATGTATTGGATACAAAGACATTATTAATGAGAAGTTATTCTCCATCATGAATGCACATATTTAATTTAATCCCAAAGAAAATCAGAGCACAGTTATTTTACATCATAACGCTACCTAACAAATTAAATGTGTAAATTATAAATGCCAGCATTGCTTTGAAATCTTCAGAAACAGAAAGAGAAACTAGATATGTGGACATAAAAAATAAAGGACAGAAAGGAATTGCACACGAGGTTTGCTGTTGAATAATTTGCCTGCATTGCTGCAGTGAGCAGGTGCATGATCTCCCCTTCGTCTCAGGTATGCACTGAGTATTTTGGGGCCGCCAGGGGAGCCCAGGTGGGGAGTGGGTGGGGCCTCCATCTTCTACCCTCAGCCTAAGCATGATTCCTCCAAGGTTTCTCCATATCTCATTTCAGCCCTCCCTGGCCTTTAGCCCCATCTGAGGTCTCTGGGGTGGGAGCCCAGGATTAGGAGGTCCCTGACTATTTCCACCCTCTCATGGGCTGGGCCCTCCCCTGCCGACCCTCCCCCTTTACTCCCCTCTTTCCTTAGCGTCCTGAGCTCTCCTGGGGGCAGGGCCTGAGCTGAGGTTTGAGCTCAGAGAGGACAGGGTCAGCGGCCTCACCTGAGACCACGAGCTCCAGGGGGTCACTGGGGTGAGACAGCAGGTAGGGGAAGAATCTGCGTGAGCTGTAGCACCTGTAGGTCCCCGCGTGGGCTGAGGTCACAGGACTCATGGGGAATTCAGCCTGGTGCTGCTGAGCTTGGTGCTCTGATCTCAGACGCAGTGGGTGATGGGCTGCCCCCTCCTTGGTCAGAAGGAAAGTGTCCAACTGCTCCCGTGACTGACACAGCAGGGTCACGTTCTCTCCTGAGGCCACCGTGGGGCCCGGCTGCACCGAGAGGGAGGGTCTGCCACGGATCTGTCCTGGAGAGAAGAAGGATGGGTGAGGGGCTGCCCCACCTCGTTCTGAGCTGACACCTCCCCAGGCCTCTCCCTGGGACCCTCAGTGTCTCTGTCTCTGTTTTCTCTGAGTCTCCCCCTCCCCGCCCATCCCCTGTCTCTGTCTGTCTCTCCGTCCCTTAGGACCCCCACCCCTCATCCCGGCCATCACCACCTGGGCTCCCCCAGCAGGGCCTGTGCGGAGCCTGGGTCCCTGACTGAACCTGCTGGGCTCCTCACCTGCGATCAGGATGCTCAGGGGGTCACTGGGGGCCGACCACTCGGAGGAGAGGTTGTGTGCACCGTAGCATCTGTACTGGCCCCCGTGGGAGACCCTCACAGGGCCCAGGGTGAAGTTGGCCTGGGAGAGCCCAGCCTGGGGCTGCCGGCCAGAGCCCTGGACGAGGTCATGTCCCCCCTCCTTGTACAGAGTGAATTTGTCATAGCCGACATCAGAGCCACACTGGAGGGTCAGATTCTCCCCAGGGGCCACGACAGGGCCCTGCAGGGTCAGGAGGGAGGGCTTCCTAGACACGCCTGGAGGGAAAGAAGAGTCGGGACTAGGAGGGCTGGTTCCTCCCACACCCCTTCCTTCTCCCCTCCTGGCCCTGCAGGTCTCACTGTCTCTCACACTCAGTGTCTCTGGGCTCAGGAGTCCCAAACTTCCCTTGTTCCACCCTCCTACATGGGGCTCCGTGAGAGTAAGTTCTCAAAAATAAATAGGGCAAGGAGGAAGACATCCATACCTAAGACCAGGATCTCCATGGTATCACTGGGTTCCGACCACACCCAGGGGAAGTTCGTGTAATGCCCATAGCATCTGAACATCCACCGGTGACTGGCAGCCACACGGCCCACAGGGAACAGGGCCAGGGACAAGGGACAGCCCCTTGGAGAGTTCCTGTGAGTCCAGCATCCAGGAGAGCTTGTTTTCTCCTTCCTCAATCAAAATGAACCTGTGAAATCCCACCCTTGAGCTACACTGGATGGTCACGTTCTCTCCTGAGGTCACCACAGGGCTCGGCAGGGCTGAGAGAGTGGGTTTTCTGTGGGCTCCTAGGAGAGAAGGAGACACTGTCTTAAATGGGGCTCACGCGTCCCACATCATCCCCCAGGGCTGAGTTATTAGAACGGAGATGCCCTTGAGAGCTGACCCCCTTCCTGCAGGCAGAGCCTGGGGCTGGGACCCCTGAGTGTCCTCTTACCTGTCACCACCAGCTCCAGGGGCTCGCTGCGCTCTGACCAGCCTGCAGGGCTGAGATAGTGACAGTGGTATCTCCCTGCATGGTGCTCTCTCATGGATGGGATGAAGAAGTTGGTCTTGTTCCTGGGCTCTGGTGGGCTCTGTTGGTACCAGGTCATGGGGTTTCCTTCCTTGGTGAGATAGTAACCCTGGGTATCCAGGGTCCCCTGGCACCAGAGGGTCATGGGGCTCTCCCAGGTAATCACAGAGCCTGGCTCAGCCCAGAGGCTGGGTTTGGGGAGGGTCCCTGGAAGAAACCACAGGCTGGGGTCCACAGACCTCCCCCGCTCCTCATTCCCAGCTCAGGTCACAGACCCTCTTGATTTTCTCACCCTCAGTTCAGAAGCCCCTGAGATGAGAGTCCAGGTGCTGAGTGTGAGGTCAGGCATGGGAGGTTAGCAGAGACTCACCTGCAAGTGCTTGGGCTTTCTGGCCCAGACTCAGCCATGGAGAAGAGTTTCCTGTGGGGGATTTGGAACACAGAGGTGTGGCTGCTTCCCTTCCTGTTGGAGCACCAGTAGCCACTGGAGCCCTGAGGCTCTCTGGTGAACAAGGCTGCTGTGGGACCCTCCCCACCTCAGCCCAGTGCCCCTCCTGTCCCTCGTCTCTCCACCACTGACTGAGGCACAGAAGAACAGTGAGGATGGACACCATGATGCCTGCTCTGCGTGCTCCAGCTGTGGGACAGGTGACCACATGGCCCTCCATGACAGACAGATGCACGGATGTGGTTAAGTCAGAGCCTGCTGCCGCCTGCCTGGGTCCCCACAGCTGTGAACCCACAGGAAGTGGACAGCCCCTTGCTGGGCCTGTCTCTTATTCCCCCCCCAGTGCAGGGGCTCAGGAGGACCCAGGCCCTCTGCACACATCTCAGCCCAGACCTGAGGTGTCCCCTGATTGCCAGGGATCCTTTGTCTGAAAACCTGCCCGTGGAGGGTGGACCCAACATCATATCTATGTCAGCTCCCAACTTAGCTGGGTCTAAACTGAAAACACAGCCCTTATTTTCTCAGAGCCTCCACTCATGACATCGGCTTTCTTTTTCCCCACTGATGCAAAGACAAATATTTCCCAGCAGAAAGTCATCCTGATCTGGAGAGACCCATTTCCTGCGTTCAGTAAATAAAGTCAGTTTCATTAGGGGAGGCTCTGGGAAAATAAGGGGATGCAGACTAGCAGAAGATGAACATTTAGCTACTTGTTTCTCAATTAATTGATTTATTACCAAAGAGAGAGAAGTGGAAACATGAGAATAGGGACCATGACTAGAATGTGGTTGAGGGAATGGTTTCTATCTTATTCCCTGGCAGAGAACTAAGGGATAAGAATGAGAAAGCTGGCTGGGTGCAGTGGCTTACACCTGTAATCCCAGCACTTTGGGAGGCCGAGGCAGGAAGATCACAAGGTCAGGAGTTCAAGACCAGCCTGACCAACATGGTGAAACCCCTGTCTCTACTAAAAATACAAAAACTAGCTGGGTGTGCTGGCATGCGCCTGTAATCCCAGCTACTAGGGAGGCTGAGGTGGGAGAATCGCTTGAACCTGGGAGGTGGAGCTTGCAGTGAGCCGAGATCGCGCCACTGCACTCCAGCCTGGGCAACAAAGCCGGACTGTCTCAAAAAAAAAAAAAAAAAAAAAAAAAAAGAAAGAGAGAAAACCCAGCAGTGAGAGGTAGTTGTGAGAACACACTAAAGAGGAAAGATAATCCAGGGCTGGGAGTGGTGGCTCATGCCTGTAATTCCAGCACTTTGGGAGGCTGAGGCTGGCAGATCACAAGGTCAGGAGTTCGAGACCAGCCTGACCAACATGGTGAAACCCTGTGTCTACTAAAAATGCAAAAATTAGCTGGGTGTGGTGGTGGGTGCCTGTAATCCCAGCTACTCAGGAGGCTGAGGTGGGAGAATCGCTTGAACCCAGGAGACGGAGGTTGCAGTGAGCTGAGATTGCACCACTGCACTCCAGCATAGGCAACAAAGCCAGACTCTGCCAAAAACAAAAACAAAAACAAAAACAAAAACAAAAAACAAGAAAGCTCAGTGAGAGGTGGTTGTGAGAACACACTAAAGAGGAAAGATCATTCAGGGCTGGGAGTGGTGACTCACGCCTGTAATCCCAGCACTTTGGGGGGCCACAGGCGGGTGGATTACCTGAGGGCAGGAGTTCAAGACCAGTCTGGCCAACATGGTGAAACCTCGTCTCTACTAAAAATACAAAAACTAGCTGGGTGTGATGGCGGGTGCCTGTAATCCCAGCTACTTGAGAGGCTGAGTCAGGAGAATCTCTTGAACCCAGGAGGCAGAGGTTGCAGTGAGCTGGGATCGTGCCACTGTACTCTAGCCTGGGTAACAGAGCAAGGCTCTGTCTCAAAAAAATAAAAATTAGAAAGAAAAAAGGAGAAGGAGAAGAGGAAGGAGACAGAAAGGAGAGAAACATCCCTGAGGTGGAACATTACATGCAACATGGAGTAGGCAGGGAATCCGATAGAGCACTGAAACTCTCGCTGGGTACGGTGGCTAACATCTGTACTCCCAGCACTTTGGGTGGCCGAGGTGGATGGATCACCTGAGGTCAGGAGTTTAAGACCAGCCTGACCAACATGGTGAAACCCCATCTCTACTAAAAATACAAAAGGCTGGGTGTGGTGGCTCACGCCTGTAATCCCAACACTTTGGCAGTCTGATACAGGCGGATCACATGAGATCAGGAGTTTGAGACCAGCCTGGCCAAGATGGCAAAACCTCATCTCTACTAAAAATACAAACATTACCTGGCTGTGGTGGCAGTCGCCTGTAATCCCAGCTATGCAGGAGGCTGAGGCAGGAGAATCGCTTGAACCTGAGAGGTGGAGGTTGCAGTGAGTCAAGATCGTGCCATTGCACTCCAGCCTGGCCAATAGGAGCAAAACTCCATGTGAAAATAAAATAAAATA
This sequence comes from Homo sapiens, assembly GCF_000001405.40. Taxonomy (NCBI): domain Eukaryota; kingdom Metazoa; phylum Chordata; class Mammalia; order Primates; family Hominidae; genus Homo; species Homo sapiens. Next base: position 196,697 of record NT_187640.1, read on the forward strand.
AAATAAAATATAATAAAATAAAATAATAAATCAAAAAAGGACTGGACATCTCCTGTGGGTTGTCAGTGAATGGAACTAAGCAAGCCACCGCTCTTTCCCTTTTGTCCCGCAAGTGTCTTTCTTGGCCTCCAGGAAGTGAGTTCCATCATGTCAGACCCTATGTTTGTTCCTGCTGGGTTCACTGAGGCTCCTCCCTTTCCACCTGTGGCTCCCCATGGGTTCCCAGTCCCCAGCCAGTGTTGTGAATCGAGCCAGGAAGACCAGCCCTATCACACCCCTCCTGATGGAATTCCCACAGTGTCATCCTGGAGAACAGGGGCTGGGGGCTGGGGTAGGATCAGAGACCTTTTCATGTGGGCCAGGCCCCTCCCTCCACAGGAGCTCTGACACGAAGCTCATCACCATTCATTTCACCCTGACGATATTCTTCCTGCCCAGACACCCCCGTTCTCCCTATGTCATCATGGGCACCTCAGTGAAATCCATGGTTGAGGGTCTCTGTCACTTACTCTGCCCTCTTCTTGGAAAATTTCCTTGGATCCTTCCAGAGCCCTTCCTGAGTGTGCTGCAGGGTCTCTGCCACATGACACACTCTCAGGAACCCTCATCCTCCCCTTAATCTACTGCGCCCACATAGCCAGGTGCAGGCTCCGTTTCTTCATCTTCCCTTCCCCACAGGCCCCGATGGAGAGTGGATTAGACTCGCTCCTGAGTAGGGACTCAGGTCACTCTGACCCCTTCCTCCCTGTGGACGAGGCCTCTGTCCCAGAGCTTTGGAGGCTGAAGGGCCTTGTGGATTCCCGCACTGGCCACAGTCTCCGATGCAGATGGGGAACTGGGGACCTGGGAGGGGTTGCCTAGCCCAAGGCCACATAGCTGGGCGGTGGCACAGCCTTCACTCACACAGGGACATTCCATCTTCCCAGGGACTTCACACTGGAGGCTAAGAGCCCCACTTTGCACACCACATTCAGGGGTAGATTCTGTGTGTGACTAACAAGTTCTCTTAGGGTTCCGAGGTAACAGGACAGCAAATGGATGAGTGAGAGTTTCCCTCACCCCACTGAAGTAGGACCATTCTCTGTGGAGGGTTGGTCCCCTGACTTCCTCTACTCTGTCATCTCCCTAGTGACTGATAGGGGTCCTGGGGTCTCTTCCCTGGAATCCCATGAGGGACAATTCCTTTCCTGAAGGGAAGGTATAGAGAGGACTAGCAGGTGCCTGGTGATGGAAAGTCCCCATAATCAAGAGACATTGCCTCCCCCCCCCGGCATGATAAATATCTGGGTTTCCAAATGGGAAATCTGTCTGTGATGAGAGCTCAGGAGGGGCTTCTGGAAGATGGAAAAGGGCTAGAGGCTGAGGCCACTGCTTATCTCCCCACACTGTATCTGGCTTCACCTCCTGTGTTTGTCCTGACCTCTTCCTTCACTCACCTGGATAAGTAGGACCCCAAAGTGGGCCTCCAGACAGGAAGCAGTGGAGAGTGTGGAGCTGCCCTGTCTACCACCCTACACCCTGACACCACTGTCATACTCAACCTCTCTTTTCCTCTTTGTGTTTCTCATTGCTTCATTTTGTCTGGAATCCCTAAGATTCCCATGTCTCCAGCAGGCTGTCCCTCAGACGTGGCTATATGATTTAGTGTTTCACAGGGCATGCAGCAGGCATGGGCTACCCCCAGTAACAGTGGTCATCTAGGGCTGATCACTCACAGGCAGAGCCATCGACAGAGAGCTGCAGCATCTAGAGGTCCCATCACCAGCCCCAAGACCCAGAGAGAAGTTGGCCTGAATGCCCCACTCTGTCTCTGCACCCCAGTGAGCCAGTGTCCAGGGGCCTTACCTTCCTCGTTAGAAGGCACAGGTCAAATGAGCTTCCAGAGCTGCAGAGCAAAGTCACATTCTCTCCATCATTACTTACTGCAGGGCACAGTTGAGCTGAGAAGGAAGGTCTCTTGTAGACGCCTGGGGAAAAAAATAGTCCTTGACTGTCGAGCACAAGCCTTACCCAGCCTATCCTCAGGGCATGAAAAAGGCATTCTCTCCACCTGTTCTGGGGAGCACACTCTGTTACCCACTCGTGCCTCTCTCCATCTCAGTTCTAGCTCTACAAGCTGGCTCATCATGTGTGTGTTTTCCTGTCTGTCTTTGCTCAGCTTTTCCTTGAATCTCTTGCTTTTTGCCGGTGCGTGTGTGGCTTTCTGCCCTTAGAACCATATGAGATTTAGGGTTCTCCTGGCACATAGAACTGTTTACTTTGAGGACCCTCAGAAAACATAGCCCTGGGCTAAGGCTCCCTGTCCTGGAACTAGAAGGTTATGGGTGTCACCATTTCCCAACAGCATGTCTGAAAGTGCCAGAATCTTCAAAGAGTCTGCAACATGTTTGTAGGATCTTTATAGGGTCTGATATTGCAGGGACCAACCAAAGTGCCCTCACACCCCAAGACGCTGGAAGTGACCCCTTGCTGAAAGTGGTTGGAAGTTTCACATAGAAGTTTGAGTTAAGCCACATTGCTGAGCAATGCCTCAGCATCCCAGTCTTCATCCAGACCTTCCAGGAGCCTGGCTGGAGGGGGTGTCTCTGGTGTGTCACTGAGCCTTATAGCAGAGGAAGGGGGCTATGGTGGAAACTACCTCCAAGATACCACTCAGTCCTAAGCTGGGGAACAAGCTGAGCTTGGATTCTGGTAGTGAATGAACCGGGAAACATTTATTTGAAGGGTTCTAAGAGTAGCATCGTGTGGGTGCGTTAATTGTATGTGAAGGGGAAGATCCTGAGAAAACAAGAGCTGCTCCACTCTGTGCCTGGGTTTACCAGAGGGACCGATGAGGTCCTCACAAGACCCAGGAATCCCACCGGGGGAAGGAGGCTTAGGGAGATGTGTTTAAGACTGTTAAGTGAGTCACAGACAGAAGCAGATCAAGCCATCCCACCACCTAGGTTTGTGGTTTTGTTTCTCCTAAACTTCCTTTCTGTAAGTAGCAGAACCTTCTCATCACCATCCTTCAAAACCTCTGCATTGTTTGAGCTCCTTGTATTTTCTGGAGATTAATCTCTTGCTTGCAAATATTCTTTCCCATTCTGTAGGTGGTCTCTTCACTCTGCTGTTTGTTTCCTTGATTGTGCAGAAGGTTTGCAGTTTGCTATGATCTCATTTGCCTATTTTTGCTTTTGCTGCCTGAGCTTTTGAGGGTTTTTTTTTTTTGTTTTTTTTTTTGAGACGGAGTCTCGCTCTGTCACCCAGGCTGGAGTTCAGTGGCATGATCTCAGCTCATTGCAACCTCCGCCTCCCGGGTTCAAGTGATTCTCCTGCCTCAGCCTCCCTAGTAGCTAGGACTACAGGCGAGTGCCACCACACCCGGCTAATTTTTGTATTTTTAGTAGAGGCAGGGTTTCACCACGTTTGGCCAGGCTGGTCTCAAACTCCTGACTTCAAGTGATCCACCCACCTTGGCCTCCCAAAGTGCTGGGATTACAGGCGTGAGCCACTGCGCCCGGCGTTGTATTGGATTTTTAATTCAGCCCTATTTTCTCCGACATTTGATATTGGCATTTTTGTCTTTTTTGGATATGCTAGGATCATGGTGTCATAATTTAATTTTAATTTTTATTTTTATTTTAAGTTCCGGGGTACATGTGCAGAATGTGTGGGCTTATTGCATAGGTCAATGTGCGCCATGGTGGTTTCCTGCACCTGTCAACCCATCACCTAGGTATTAAGCCCAGCATACATTAGCTATTTTTCCTAATGCTCTCCCTACCCCTACCCCACCCCCCCCCCGACAGGCCCCAGTGTGTGTTGTTCCCCTCCCTGTGTTCACGCATTCTCATTGTTCAGCACCCACTTGTAAGTGAGAACATGCAGCGTTTGATTTCCTGTTCCTGTGTTAGTTTCCTGAGGATAATGGTTTCCAGCTCCATCCATGTCCCTGCAAAGGACATGATCTTGTTTCTTTTTATGGCTTCATAGTATTCCGTGGTGTATATGTCTCACATTTTCTTTATCCAGTCTATCATTGATGGGCATTTGGGTTGATTCTATGTCTTTGCTATTGTGAATAGTGCTGCGATGAACACATGTGTGCATGTATCTTTGCAATAGAATGATTTATATTCCTTTGGGTATACGCGCAGTAATGGGACTGCTTTTACCTGTGCCAAAATACTGAAGTAGAAATGATTATTCACTCTAAAATGGAAGGTAATAAGATGTATACGTGAGCTATCAGATGCCTGGTGCTTATGAGTGAAGACAAGTCTGTCCAACGCTTCCCAACCCTGCATTCAGGGATGTCTCGTTGGCATCTTGATTATGGCCATGAAAAAAGAATTTACGTCAAGGAAATTGGTAAATGCCACTAATCATAGCATTTCAAAAAATGTCTTTTTCAGAATTAGCATACCATTGGGTCGTGACTTCAAATGCCAGTGTGTTGATTCCAGGTGGTGATATTTCAGGAGAAACTACACAGATAGCATCTGATAAGGAGGGAAGAGCTCATAGGGTCCACACAGGAGGTGAGGGCATCACGGTGCATTTATCTTTTCCTGGTCGGACTCTGATCTTCTCCCGTTGAATTAGTTCCTAAACCAGGTGCGGAACTCTGAACTGAAGACATGAAGACCCAGTAAAGTACACCAGGAAGTGTGGCAATGAGAAATGAAGAGGACTGTGTGACACGCCATGGACCAGAGCATGCAGGTGTGCAGAGGTGTGGACCCAACGCTGCCATGTGGGATGGAGCCTCATGTCTAAGTGTGGGAAAAGAGGCAGATCCAACCAAGGAAAGTCAACATTAATGGAGAGGAAAGGTATCACATTTTAATGGTTCTCCATGGATCACCCCAGAAAATGTCCCTGCACTCGGACATTGATTCCTTCCTCTGGAAATGACCAGCAGACAGTCCAGATAGCATCGGCCCTAGATTTTCTTCCAGAACCTCCTGGGATCATCAGATCTGTTCCTGAGGCTTCACGACTCTATAAAGTACATTATCCTCTCTGCTGTTCACCTCCCGGCTGCATCTTGGGAAGCTTCTCTGGCTGTGCCAAGCCTCAAATGACAGAATCCCGAGGACCACCAGGATCAAGCCAGCCACGCCCATGTGGATGAGATTCTCCACTGCGTAATCCTGAAGGTGTGAGGCTGGGGATGGTGGACAAAGAGGTCACAGAGGTCAGGGTGGATCAGATTGTCCACCCAGGGCACCCACCTCCCCTTCACAGGACCCAACCCTCAGTGCCAGCCCCATCACTGAGAGTATCTCCTCACATACCAGTCTCAGAGTCAGACTTGTTTTGTGATGGGCTGAGGGTATCAGCTGCTCCAGAGAATCAAAACAGAGAAAAAGAGACCTGAGCCCAGCCTCTCACCTGGGCTCTGCAATTTTTTTTTTATTACTTAATGTCTCATGATGTGACTTTTACAGAATTTCTAAAAAAAAAAAAAAAAAACCTCTTCCTCCGCTAGCAGGATTCCCTCTAGTCTCCTCATTGAACGATTTCAGTTTTCCTGTGTTCTATGGATTTAAACATTGCTCCTGAGTCATCTGGGAGAGAGTTTTCCTGCATCCTGAGAGCTCAGGATCTGCAAGGAAAGTGGTCCCCAGTACAGAGGTCACTAAGGCCTGTGTGCTCTCTGTGCAGCCTGGGACACAGGAGAACATGAGCCAACTCCCCCGGAGATGAGAGTTTCACGGATCCACCAGCTGAGGACCCAGGCTCCGTGGATGAGGGTTAGTCATCAGGGGAGCCTCAATGTCAGAAGCACAAAGGGGTGAAATTCTGGGGCTGCCTCCCCTTCATGCCCTCAGCCACTTCACCTGGAGTTTCATTGTCCATTTAATCTCTAGGTAGCTAATTATTCGTATAGGCAGCAACAGGTAGAATGTGATACACACACAGAAAAACACAAACACAAATATATATCTGTTTTATATATATAGTGGGCCTTAAAAACTATCTCTGCCTTCTTGAAGTGTGGGTTCACCTGGAGACAAACAGCAAACATATAGAAACACAGCAGTGGAAATTTACTAGTCGTAGCAATGGTTTTAGATATATTGGTAGAGACCTATATTTATGTGTGAATATATATTATTTGTATAGATATACGGATAACTAGGTTTCAATGTCACGTAAGATGTTGGTGTGACCACACACGCGCACACACACACACACACGTATATGCAGAGAGTGGAAGAGAGAGAGAAGGAATTCAGCCGCATGGTGTAGGTTGGTTAATTACTTGACATAAATGAGAAGCAGGCAGGACTGGGCTGAGCTGTGTCGTCAGTGAAGGTCACACTTGGAGGTGACATTGAAGCTGATTCCTCAATAGGAAAAAGGGCCAGGAAGGAGGCGTGTGGAGACCCAGACAGGGAGCAACAGAGGCTCCAGAAAGAGCAGGTCCCAGAAAGGTCTCAGCCTGTTCTTCAGAAAGGAATGGCCGCTTGTCTACAGGGTGGAGGAGGAGGCAGAGGAGGAGGGGAGATGAGCTTCGGGGCCTTGGTGGATTGAGAATAGGCCAGGATGAACCGGCCAGGAAAGAGCGGCCCCAATATCTCTCTCTCTGTCTCTCTGTCTCTGTCTCTGCCTCTCTCTCCCTCCCTCTGAGGTCTGGAAAGTGCTGTAGGGTTTCAAGGAGTGGTACCAGTCATTTGACTTTTTCTGAAAAGATAAGCCCTACCCCCTCCATAGCAAATGTCCAGAACGAAGGAAGTCCACATTTCTACCTGAAGTTTACAAAACCTCAGGGAGCACGTGAGATCAGGGCTATTACGAAACCGGGTGAGAATAAAAATAGGTGATGCTGCAAATCTACTTTCACCAGCTTGGACAAAAAGGCCAATATGAGATTTTAAAAACCCAAATAAAAAATGTCAACGGCGCAGAAGAGGAGCGGTGCACATTCCCTGAGCTGCTGCGGGAGCACGTGCAAGTCCCTGTGAGGCTCAGGTGTGCGCTGAGTGCTGGGGAGGCTGCAGGGGAAAGCAGGAAGTGGGGCGGGGTGGGGGGGGGTCGGGGGTGGATGCAGGTGGCACCGGCAGCCTGGATGCTTCTCTCTCCAGGAGGGCGTCTGTTGGGGACTGGGACACAGAGGCTCTGATTCTGAGGTGGAGACACCAGGATGGGAGCAGGTGGGGCCTCCGTCTTCCACCCTCAGTCTAATCTCAACTCCTTTGAGGTTCACCCCCCGTCTCCTCCCAGCCCTCCCTGCACTTTACTCTACTGAGACTTCAGGGGTGGGAGCCAGGGGTGGGAGGTCCCTGTCTATTTCCATCTTCCCATGGGCTGGACCCTCCCCTGCGGACCCTCTCCCTTCACTCCCCTCTTTCCTTAGTGTCCAGAGCTCTGCTGGGGGCAGGGCCTGAGCTGAGCCTTTGAGCTCAGAGAGGACAGGGTCAGCGCCCTCACCTGAGACCACGAGCTCCACGGGGCCACTGGGGTGAGACAGCAGGTAGGGGTCGGAGCTGAGTGAGCCGTAGCACCTGTAGGTCCCCGTGTGGGCTGAGGTCACAGGACTCATGGGGAATTC